>NC_000024.10:10053713-10266944 GCF_000001405.40 Homo sapiens
CAGGTGATATGATGACTTAGCTTGGGCTCAGAGATCTGACACTTATGAGGTAGTAAACATAACAAGAACGTAGAGAAAAAGGCAAAAAGTCTTTCCTTTTAGAATTTTAAAAATCCCTTCCGGAACCCTTTTCCCAATATCTTTCATTCATTGATTCATTCAAGAAATATTTATTGAGCTAGCATGGTCTAAGATTTTGTAAAATGGCATGATAGTCATGGTTGGTACTTCTATCATTGACAGAAAGAATGTTTCTTTTCTCCTACAATGTTTTTCTCTGAAACATTCTTCTTGCAAATTCATATTCTTTATTTTTTATTTTTATTTTATTTTTTTTGAGACAGAGTCTGGATCAGTTGGACAGGCTGGAGCACAGTGGCCTGATCTTGGCTCACGACAAGCTCCACCTCCTGGGTTCATGCCATTCTCCTGCTTCAGCCTGCTGAGTAGCAGGGACTACAGGCACCCATCACCATGGCCAGCTAATTTTTCTGTATTTTCAGTTGAGATGTGTTTCACCATGTTAGCCACGGTGGTCTCAATCTGACCTCATGACCCACCCGCCTCAGCCTCCCAAAGTGCTGGGATTACAGGCATGAACAACCGTGCCTGGCTGCAAATTCGTATTCTTACAGATCCAATTGATTGTTCCTGCACTAAGAAGGTTCCCCAAACACGTCTAAACCCAGTTAAGAACTCCCTTTGTCTCCAACTAAGTTACTTAATTTTATATATTGTAACACTTGTTACAGTACATTGCAATTATTGTTCTTCTCTTCATTCTCCAATTAAGCTGTGAATATTTAGAAGGAAAAGGCTTTAGAGACAATGGATTGACATTTGTCAGTATTTATTTTACAAAAGATTATTAGATATTTATACATAATATTCTAACATATTTATCCTGATTTTTGGAAAACAATATAAATAATTTTCTCTGTGTGGGAAAGAGAGTTTCTGGGATGCCAGATGAGTTGGTCTACCCTGTGTGAGACACCCACGGGAGCCATGGGGGGGCTCTGATGAAAAAAGTCTCCTTATTTCCTTTATGTTCTTATGCCTTGAGAGCATAACAGCTCAGTGGCATGCCACAGGTTGCTCAGGGAGATAACACTCCCTTGAAGCAGTGGAGTATAATCAAACATCTTGGCTCCTCCTGAAACCACCTCCTACCCATTTCAGTCCCAGTAAGTGAAAGATCTTAAGTAGTTTAGACACATGACTTTGCTCAAGGAAATTCACAGAAAGCGCCCCTGCTATACATCTTATTGAATGACTCATGACTTCTCCTTCACTGATTAATCCTTTTCCTCGTCCCTTCCTCCCCTCCCATCTGCTCTAAGAACAAGAGCTTGTAAATCAATAAATTGGATGGAGGCTGGGAGCTCAGGCCATGAGCAAGCCTCCAATGCTCTGGTCCCCTAGACCCACCTTTTAAACTCTTATTCTGTCTCTTTCGAATTCCTTTGTCTCCACTGGACTCAGGGTACCTGCTGGGTGGTGTGGGACTGGTTTTCCCAACATCTCTGCCCATTCCCCATGAACTGCTCAACTTTAAACAATGTCTATGCTTTTGGAGCAATTATACAAACTTCCAAAAAACACCTGAAAGTGTTTTTATTTTGTTTTGTTTCATCATATTATTTTCTAGAAACAAATTCTTGCCCCATGGCCCAGGCTGAAGTACAGTGTGCCATTACTCCTCATTGCAACCTTGAACTCCCGAGTAAGTAGAACAACAGATGAGTGCCATCATACCCTATTTAATCAATTAATTACTTTTGTAGAGTTAGGTCTTGTTAGATTGCCTATGCTGGTCTCCAACTCTGGGCTTGAAATGTCCTCCCTTCTCAGCCTCCAAAAAAGCTGGGATTCCAGGCATCAAAACTGGACTTTAATAGGAAATTTTAGATTTTAGAATATTGCAATACATTAGATTTAATTTATTTTTCAAATTTGCTGTTGCACTGCACTTGAGAATAATTATTTCTCATATCTAGTCATCTACTTTTGAAATCTTTATTCTATTTACTTGAATCCTAATAACTGGTAGTCAGCTCAGCTGAAAACTGAGTACATGGGTGTTTTTGTGTTGAGGTTATGAACACAAATGTGGAGAGATATCAAGGACAAAAGACATTTATTTTGTATATAAACACTTCTCTTTTTATTATGGCCATGTATTTGAAGAATTATGATAGGCATCTGATAAAAGAAGGATTGTGTATTGCTTAGTATATCCCAGGTGTTATCTATGGAAATCTATATTTCTTGAGTCATATTATCCCATAGTACTGTATTGTGAGCTAAGTAGTTACCTTCTCACTTTACTGATAAACTGAAAGTTATCTAAGCATTCATAGTTCATAGGAAGATTAAAATAAGTTAATAGAAATAGCAACTATACAAAAGAGTAAGAACTCACTTTTTTCTTGCAAATAGTGAAACATTTCTTTGTTTTAAATAAAAGAAGTACTGGGGTGGATGAAAATGGTAATATTTTACACTATTTAAATTGCAACCTAGAGGCACAAATAGGCACTTAGGCACACAACTGGGATGCCATATTGCCAGTATTGTTTACATTTCTTTGCTTTGAAACATTTATTCTAAAACTTTATCCTTGCAGGTGAGGCATCATATATGGTATGGGTAGTTTTTAAAAATACCCTGAAATATGTACTTTAGTAACCAGTTTTCCAAATTTGTTTTAATCAGTAGTTAACGAGGTATTGCACTCCTAGTAAGTACATGAATGTTCGAATTGCTGTGAGTTATTTTAGTAATTGCTTAGTTAACCATTTAAGTTATCAAAGATCTTTACTTGTGCAATATCATATAAATGTGGGAAATCAAAAATTAATAACAGGATTTATGTAACTAAAAGGTGCCACCTAAAGTGATATTTTTCAGTAAGATGACCATGGTAATTATGCCAAAAAATAGTCATTCCCACACTCTGACCCATTATAGCAATTTCCATCTAAGGATTTTACAGTCAGATTCCAGTTCTGGGCAACAGTGATTAACATAATGGTTATTAATGAGAAGAGATTTTGAGACATCCAGGCTTGTTTAGATATCAGTGCCTTGAAGGGATAGGTTTGGCATATTAATAAGAAAGATTGCATTGGACTGGACACTAAGAAATGTATTGAATTGTTTTTTTTTTGTCCTCTATAACATGAAAGGTCAATTAGACATATAGAAACAATGGAACATTTCACAGCATGGCCTGACATTTCACTGCACTTTTATCCTTTTAACCATGTAAAAAGTCTATTAAATATGCAAAGGTAGGACTGCTATAGGAAGAAAGAGGAGGAGTTAGAGGTCACAATCCACAGCAAGGTGACAGTCTGTTGTGGATCACACCCTGAGAGCTAATTAGAGTGAAAATGAACTTTCAGGTTGCCAACAGGGAACAAGGAAAATGAAGCTATCAGCAGTTAACATTATTGGATTAATTGAAATGAATGTTGACAGAGATTTTGTTGTTCTCCATCAAATTGAGTATAAAATAATGTGACCGCTTATCAAATTTCACACATATAAAATTGTGGATTAAAATGTTACATAACCCATACATTATAAGTATATCATATAAATGTATACGTACATGTGCAAACTCACAGTGTGCAAATATGTGTCTATATCTAAATATATACAAATCCATTGACCAACAGTTAGCAAGTTAGAAATTATTCTCCCATTTTACCATTCCCTTTCCTAGAGTTTTGTCACAAATATAATTTTTCCACCTGTTTGAATCCTACTTTATGGAGGTATGTACAGTAAAGCCATGAGATATCGCAGTGTTTGTATCATAGAAAACAATAACACTGGTATTATAAGAGACCCATTGTGAGGAGAAAGTTATACCTCACATTACTACAAATACAGAAGTATGATTTCATCAAAAGCTGAAATCAGACAATATAATTTGTTTTTAATGTTTTATTTAAAATACTTCATTTCAAAAGGATTACTCAAGTAGAAGAGTGGCATTGGTAATAAATAATGATGAAGAATTCCCTTTAATTTGTTGATTATTTAAAATGTAAGTAAAATACTGAAAAGTACTGTACGATGTAGTTTCATGAAGCATTCTTTACGGTTTTTGTAAAATTAATACTCTCAATGGAATATTTTAAGACTGAGAAAGTTCCATATATCATTGTACTATACTTTCACTTTATTACTTGCTTACAGGTCATAATTGATGGAAATAAAAATATTTATATTTACACATATACAGAACATGGATTTTTATGTTTTCTAGTGAGATAAAGTTACCAATAATTTTATTTATATAGGAAAAATTTTACAAGCCCAAAGTTCATAACTTTCTTTTCTTTTGAAGTTTCATATTTCAGTCTAGGTATGAGATAGAATTGACTGTGATCATTCTTTGATTTCACTATGAATACTGAGTTTCTGATACAGTGTTAGGAATGTATAGACTTTAAAGCTTGCTTTCTTCTTCTTCTTCAACTCCCTTTGGACCTGTATATGTGATTTCTCCAGTAACCTGCATCGTTATCTGACATGTGGTTGCTGAAACATATAAGCATAAATAGAATTCTTAGTTTCAGTGAATCATTAGGAACAGACAAGTAAAACAGAAAGATTATTATGAATGTAAGTAAGCAGTTTATCAAAGAGGTACAACAAGTGTGAAAATAAATGTAAAAATATGTGCCCCATCCAAAACATGAGACAGTAAAAATGAAAAATTTAATTTGACATAAAGAACAATTTAAAAGTTATGATTATTTCTGGTGAGAGTAAGAAGCTCAGAAACCATGAAGAAGTCCAGCAAAGCTACATGATAGACTTGCAGGTCAGGATGGGGAGCATGGGAGAGGGTCCCAAGGTCCTGGTCAGGTTGAGGTCATCCTGGGGCATGGGGGTGTCTCAGTGGGAGAGCTGGAAAGGGGAAACGCATGCTTCACCCCAGCTAGCAGGCCACCTCAGCCCACCTAGATGAAATTGTCCCTTGACCATCCTCTTTCTCCTTCTTGGACAGGCAGGTGGAGGAACTCAGCCATCCTGACTACCAGCAGCAGGATGAAGTTTGCCTTTCCTCACAACATTTACTTCCACAATGAAGTGATCATTAAGGAGTATTGTGTTGGCATCCTCAATAAAGAGTGCCTCCCAGCATGGTAGAGGGGGTGGCCTGTGGGAAGCTAGGCCTGGCATGAGCCTTCCTGACTCCTCTCCCTCCAGGATACAGGGCGACTGGCTCCACTGCAGTCCAGTGGTTCTAGGGTCATGCAGGTGAAGGTCCCAGTTTTAGGCAGGGCACCACCTAACTGAGCTTCTTCAGTTGGTTGACTGACGGTGGGTATTGCCCAGGCTATGGCAGGATTGCTGAGGTGGGGTGACTGTGATGTGTCATGTAAAAGGGTCTTGCAGATTGTTCCTTGACATTGGAGGAACTGGCTTTGAACCAGAACCTGACCTGTCATGACCACTTTGCCCAGTCCCCCAGATCATCAGCCAGGGCCTGTGGCTCCATCTCCTGCAGCACTAACCGAGGGAGTTAGGCCCTCAGAGAGGGAAGAGAGAGGAGGCTGGGGAGCACCCCAGGGCTGGGGGCTGAGAGGCCTGTGGGTCCTGGAGCTAGGCCAAGGCTCAGGGAGGAGACTGCAGTAAGAAAACTCAGGCCATCATGGGCTGGTGGAGAAAGACCCAGCAGGGAACTGTAGTACTCACATTTCAGGACTGGGGAACCTTAAGCTGCTTAAGAGGCATAAGTAGCTGAGGTCAATGTGTAAGAAGTCAGGCTCAAGAGATAGCTGCCTCATCATTCCTTGCTACCTCCCTTCCCTGCCCTGAGGCCTGCTTTCACCGGGGGCTCAGTTTGGACTCAACCAGGGTGCTCTCACCCTCCAGGCAGATTCCCTCCTGAGGCCCATCTAGGTCTACATCCTCTCAGAATGGCTCTCTCAGGCCTGTCAAGTTCTGTTTCAATGACCCCAGGCTTCCCTGACATGCTTTTTCCCCTCTGCCATCTTCATTCACCCAGCCTCTGCCCACCCCCAGAAAAGACAGGCCACCACACAGGGAATCTGGAGGACCACAGCGGGCTCACAGGGGAGAAAATGTGAAAAGACAGCAAAACAGAAGGGGACCTTCTGTGTGTGTCCAGGAAGGCAATCTGGCTGGACATTAAGGCCCACCTCACTATTGGTGAAGACACCCAGTGTCTCTTGTCCCTGAGCATGTGCACACAAACACACACATTGTCTAAATGGCATTGACATAAATACTACCTCAGTGATCTACAAAATCTACACAACCCTTGTAAAAATATCAATGACCCATTCTTCATAGAAAACCAACCTGAAAATAATAGATTTGCTATGAAATGGCAAAAGGTCCTGAGGACCCAGAGCAATCCAGTAAAAAGCACAAAGCTGAAGGCATCACACTACCTAACTTCACAATATACTACAAAGTTTTTCATACCAAAATATAACAGCACTGCTAGAAAAGCAGAGACATGAGCTAATGAAAAACAGTAGAGGCTCAGAACTAAGTCACTGCATTTATAGCTCATGACCTTTTCCCAAAGAAGCAAAAACACACAGTGCAAAATCCAGTATCTTCTATAAACTAGGTTGGGGAAAACCTGAATATCCATATACAAGATTTTAAAAGTAGATTATTTCTCACCAAACTCCAATGTCAGACCTGAAACGATAAAAATACCAGAAGAAATCACAAGGAAGAAGTTCCATGACATCGGTGAGGGCAGATGGCCTCAATGGGACTGCAAAAGCACAGTAAACACAATCAAAAATAGAGAATGGTGTTATATCAAACTAAAGTGCTTTGGCACACCACAGGAAACTAAACAGAGGAAAGGGACATTCTACAGGATGGGAGAAATCATTGGCTCACCATACATCTGTTAATGGGTGAATACAGTACTTAAGGAACTCCAACAACTCAATAGCATGAAAACAAATGGGCTAAGGATGTGAATACTCATTTGTGAAACTAAGACATACAGTTGCCCAGCAGACACACTAAAAAGTGCTCATCATCCCTAATCCATCAGGAAAATGCAAATCAAAACCACAATGAGATTTCATCTCATGTCAGTCAGAATGCCTATTTTCCAAAAGCCTGAAACAAAAAACAAATAACAAAAAACAACAACAACAAAAACACACACACACCTCATTTCTGGTGAGGATGCAGAGAAAAGGAAATCCTTGCACACTTTTGGTGGGAATGTAAATTAGTGCAGGATTACAAGAAGCTTTATGGATTTTATTTAATTATAAAGAGTCTTCAGAAATCTACAAGTAGAACCACCCACCATATGATCCAGCAAATCAGAATACCGGGGCACACTCATAAGTATACAAATCAGTATGTTGAAGCAGTGCATGCACCCATGCAATTATTGCTGCATGCTTTACATTTTCACTATAACCAAAATATGGAAGCAACCTGAGTGTCCCTCAGTTGAAGAGTGGACAAAAAAATGGGGCATATATGCACAATGGAAAAATCTGCTGCAATAACAAAGAAGGAAATCCTGCCAGTTGTGACAATACATCTGAATCTGCTGAATGTGTACATGCCACTTTGTTAAGTGACACAAGCCAGGTATCAGAAAGGCAAATAGCACATGACCTCATTCCTATAAAAAATCTAAAAAATGGACCTCACATAGGTAGTGACTCCAGTGGTTGGGGTGGTGTTTAATGGAGAGGGTGCACTGAGGAGACGTTGGATCAAGAACACATATTTCTAGTTAGAAAGGAGGAATGCTTAAAAACCTTTTCTACAGCATGCTGACTATAACTAGTGATTTACATATTCTTTCTCTAAACAATCCTAAGACAATGTATGTCAAGTTTTATCACCACAAAAATGAAAAATATGTGAGGTCATATATGTGCTATTAGCTGGATATATCTAATGCCTAATGTATATGAGTTTTTGAACTTCAACTTTTGAGTTACAAATATGTATCATTTCATAAGAAAATTTTAAAAATAAAATGGTATCTAATTAAACTAAAGAGCTTCTGTACAGCAAAAGAAACCACCGTCAGAGAGAATAGGAAAACTACAGAATGGGAGAAAATTTTTACAATATACCCATCTGACAAAGGGCTAATATCCAAAGTCTACAAAGAACTTAAACAAATTTACAAGAAAAAAATCAAACAACCCCATCAAAAAGTGGACAAAGGGTATGAACAGACACTTCTCAAAAGAAGACATTTATGCAGCCAACAGGCACATGAAAAAATGCTCATCATCACTGGCCATCAGAGAAATGCAAATCAAAACCACAATGAGATACCATCTCACACCAGTTGGAATGGTGATCATTAAAAAGTCAGGAAAGAACACGTGCTGGAGAGGATATGGAGAAACAGGATGCTTTTGCACTGCTGGTGGGACTGTAAACTAGTTCAAATATTGTGGAAGACAGTGTGGCAACTCCTCAAGGATCTAGAACTAGAAATAACATTTGACCCAGCCATCCCATTACTAGGCATATACCCAAAGGATTATAAATCATGCTGCTATAAAGACACAAGCACACGTACGTTTATTGCAGCACTATTCACAATAGCACAGACTTGGAATCAACCCAAATGTCCATCAGTGATAGACTGGATTAAGAAAATGTGGCACATATACACAACAGAATACTATGCAGCCATAAAAAAGGGTAAGTTCACGTCCTTTGTAGGGACATGGATGAAGCTAGAAACCATCATCCTGAGCAAACTATTGCAAGGATAGAAAACCAAACACCACATATTCTCACTCATAGGTGGGAATTGAACAATGAGAGCACCTGGACACAGGGTGGGGAACATCACACACCGGGACCTGTTGTGGGGTGGGGGGAGGGGAGAGGGATTGCCTTAGGAGATATACCTAATGTAAATGATGAGTTAATGGGTGCAGCACACCAACATGGCACATGTATGCATATGTGACAAACCTGCATGTTGTGCACATGTACCCTAGAACATAAAGTGTAATAATAAAAAATTGTAAAAATAAAAAAAATACAATTTTTAAAATTCCTTAAGAGAATAAATGTCTGTGAAGTATTTTCTTATAAAGAAGTGCCAATATATATACATATGTGTGTGTATATATATATGTGTATATATATATATAATATATATATCCCAATGTAAATGATCAATTGAAATATAGAAATTACAGGCCTGGAGACTATAGTCCATGAATTGAAACCTTCACTGCATATTTCAAAAGAAGACATGAGGAGGCAGAAGGAAAAAGAAAACATCTCAAAGCCATTTTGGGGCCCTGGGTCACGCCTGTAATCCCAGCACTTTAAGAGGGTGAGGTGGGAGGACTGCTTGCACTCAAGAGTTCCAGACCAGCCTGGGGCAACATGGGCCCACCTCTAAAAAGTAACTAATTAATTAATTAATATGTAGCTGGGAGGGGTGGCATGCATCTCTAGTGTCAGCTGTGTGAGAGTCTGAGTTGAGAGGATCACATGAGTGTGGGGTGTCCAGGCTGCAGTGGGCTGAGATCATGGTTTTGTTCTCTAACCTAGGATCCAGAGTAAGACCCATTCTCAGAAAACAAAACAACAAAAAAGAGTCAAATTAGGTAAATTAAAACTATGTAGTGTGAAGATAATAAAAATAAACAAAACATCATTAGAGCCTATGTGACCCAATGAAAGAAACCAGCTTTCAAATAACAGCCCCAGTTGGGGAGAACAATAAGAACGGGCAGAGAGAACACTGTAAGTAGTAATACACCTAACTCCTCAAATGAGTTAAAAGACAGGAATGTACAAAGAGTACTTCCTTTGGCCTCAAAGCCCTTAATAACAAGTGTCTTTTTCTGAATCCCTGACATAGATTCAGCTCACCTGAACCTCTTGGTGAGGTTCTCAGTCTATGATCTGCCCTTTCTATATGTTCTCATCTTATTTCACATCACTTATCTATGGCAGTTCATAGTCATTCATGATTCTTTGACATTGTTTGACACAATGAAGAACTCAGATATAAGTTCATTAAACAATAATTTATGACTTCATGAAGAAATTCTGTATACACGATGTTTGTTAAAAGGATAATACAAAATAAAAACGTAGGGAGAAGCACATTTTCTCTGTTTCATCATTGCGCTTGTGTTTACACCACATGTATCTATGAACTACAGCTGCCTCCTGGAAAATGATCTTACACAATGTCTTGAAAGTTCTCTTTCCACTTTAGAGACCATAGGCATAACCCACTTTTTCACTTTTCCACCTTTTGGATATACTGAGTGGTTCAACTGGGGTCCATCTGACTTTTGGCTTTACTGTAATGCCCAGTTATTCTTTTTTTTTTTTAACACTGTCATTCCTAGATAGGCCTGAAATAAACGGTTCATTATGGCTCAAAAAAGAACTCATCTCCTTCACCTGAGATTCTTTATAAGAGGAATTTCATCCAGACATGAAAACAATAATCTGACGCCACTGCCCACAGATTCAGAATTACAAAGTAAATTCAGAAGAGGATAGGAAGATAGATGATGCAGATGGAGAGAGGGGAGTGGGTAAGAAAGGGAAGGAATAAAGGAGGGGTGTAAGGGAAGGAAAAGAACAAAGGAAGGGAGAGAGAGTGATAGATGTCCAAAGACACAAATAGAAAGTCTGTCATGGTTGTAGAGATAGGTGTGTACAAGTTAATACAGGCAGTGTGGAAACATGTCTGACAGACAGAGACATAGGTGGAGTCAGAGGAAAGATCCAAACCCATACAGATATACAGACAAACACTTGGCAGTTTAAACATGAAAAAACTCCAAGACCCTGATGCTAGAAATAACAGAGGTGTTTCAGAGTTACTGAGGCAGAATGCAAATTTGTCAGAGACCTTAGCATCTGTGGCCCATGTGAACAGATATTCAGTGGAAGCAGCATTAGACTGACTGTATAATTCAGCACGATCTCTGATAATGCCTAAACAATGGAGCACATGTGAAATCACTAGACTGAATTGCATGTAGGATATGAGGAAGAAGCCCAGTCAGCAGCGTTCACTCGGTTGGGTGGCCAATATGGCTCAGCCACCAGCTCATGGCAAGCCTATCATTGTAGACAGTTTCTAGTTTGCTGCCTGCCTTGGGAAAAGCTCTTCCCCTACCACCACTTTAAAACAGGCTAGCTCAAAAACTAGCCCTGGCATCTACTTACAGTCTTTTCCTTATCTATTTACCTCCTAGAAAAATCATTGCAAGACCATTTCCTCAACTTTTTCCTATGCATTAAATTTGGTGCAAGACCTTTTCAGACAACCTAATTATAAGCAAGTCCCCAGACATTTCCCAATCTGAGTTGCCCTGAGTGCGCACACCAATCTACTGCCCCACTCCCACTATAGCGTTACTGTAATGGACCACAGTGCCCTTCGACCAGCACACAGTAAGATAGAGGGCAGCTTGAGGGGGCCAAAGAGTTCCCACTGTTTTCAGGAATAATTTGCTGAGAAAACCTGTTTCTCATGTGTTTGTGGGTCATGGGGACAGTAGTCAGAAGAGGTCAAAACTCCTGCTCCAGAGGCCTCAGCTGTCTGCATGAGAGCAGGGGCAAAACTGAGCTATAGATTTTCAAAGCTCATCTGCTGATACCGAGCAGAAGGTGTGGAATGCATACTGAAGGCAGCACAATAGATTCATGAACTTCTGACTGTCAAACCCTCTTTCCTGAAACAATATAGCTCTTCTTACAGAAGCTGGGCTGACCAGTTCATATGGGACAGGAATGTTAGCACTCTATTAGTGTGTCTTTGACAGGGATGCTCATGTTGTATCTGTTTTATCTGGGAATGGGGAAGAAAGTTCTGCACCCAACTCTGAAATCCTCCTCCTCCATCCATGACAGAGGCCACCCCTTGTCCTGTGCATAGACACAGATGTTCCTGGCAAGCAGCCACCCCAGAGTCCATGCATGGATCCTCTGGCAATCTTCTATTACACAAATCCACCAACCTTCCCCTCACTTTTGCATGTTTGTGTTTTCCCATAGTCACCTATGCCAGAAAAAAAAAAATAAGGCGTACCCTGAATGCCTTCCCACATGCCTCTGTCACCTTTCCAATAGTCCCTCCAGACACCTTACATGCCCATTTCTTCTCACATTGATGGTACCCCTGGTCCTGAGAGGCTGATTGTTCCAGAAAAGGATTATGCATTCACCTTTAAAAGCAGAACATGTGATTTCAACATGAAAGTGAACTTTAAGATTTCCATCATCCTGTGCTATCTTAATGTGTTTGATGATACCCAAAATGAAGGATTTTGGAGTTACCTTATCCCAGCAAACTGGGTCCTGGATATCTTAGTGGCCACTAACCCCTTTCAATGAACTACCTCTGCTTCCGTAGGGTGAAGTAAGCCTCCAGGTAAACTGTCTTTTCTTTCTTGTATCTCCCCAACTCTGTATTGTAAGAAGAATCCCCAAACATTCTACACCCATTCACTCTACAACTTTAGAGGCCTAGCTCCAACACAGACTGGTCATTTCCATGAAAAGAATAAAACATATGGATTGATCAATTCATTGTGACACATGAATCCGGGATGAACATACCCACACACACAGATACACAGACACACACACACACACACACACACACACACAGAGTCACACATCCTTAATAGTGTTTATTTTTCATTCCATAAAATCCAAGTTTAACCCCTCTTCCTGTCTGCGTTTTTTTGTGCCTGGATCTGTTTTTCCTTTAGGTCGTGTGCATAAGACCATACTGAGTACTGACATCCTGCATACTGTAGTAACTTTGTAGGAGTTCTGCTGTTTCAGGTAAAGCCTGATGCTCCATCATATTCATCTCAAAATCCAGAAGTCCCCTAGAGAAACACAAACGCATGTCAAAATGCATTTCCTCTGAGCCATAATTTAAAATGTTTTAATTTTAGGTCCTGCTGAGTAAAGACTACCCCTTTCCCACTTTTGATCTCTTAAACTTCGTCCTACCATGTGTTACAAACTGTTCTCTGCAATACCTGCTCCATTCCCAGTATACTCTGTGATGGGATTCAGCTAACAAGATGCATTGTTCACAAAAAGCACACCGAATCATCAGGCAGTAGCTTAAGAAAATCCATCAATCTAAACAGTCTTGTGTGGTTTGTGGCAAGGATGACAAAGAGGCACATTCAGGGAGTTAAATCTTAAGGGGTTGATAGGATGACTGCCAGTGGGGCTGACAGCCATGGAATCAAGTGCCACAAATTGAAGTTAATGATTCAGCTTTACCTCTCAGTGAATCTGGACATGGACTATACTTCTCTGGGCTTAAGACTCCACAGTTATAACCTGCTATGCAGTGTAGTCTCTAAAGTGCCTTTTTCAGCTCAATGCCCTGAATGTCCTGGATTCTGTCCCTCTCTGTCTTCCTCTCAAGGAATTTCCACATTTATGAAATAAGCCTCAATTTCTACATTTCTGAAATGAGAGTCCAGGCTCCCTGAATAGTGAGGGGTGTCAACCCCCTCATAGTGGGCATCAAACAGCTCCAGTTCCAACTGAATGGCTTACCTGAAATCTCTGTTCCCTCTTCAGGTGGCTTCATCCTCTTGTAGTATTGCAGGGGATTGTGCCACAGGTCCTTACATAGGATCTGTCAGGGGAATCAATTGGGAAAGGCCTCATCAGGGCTCAGACTGGTGACCTAAGCAGCTGGGAACACACCAGGTCATTCCTGATGTTTCCCGGTGAGGATGCACCTCAGCAATCCTATTAGGTCCTGTGAAGTTGTGGTCAGAAAACCAGTTGAAGAAGTTAAGGCTGCTATTGTGGTGTCTGGGTCAATAAGTCTCAACTTCATAATCTGGATACTACTGAATTGGAGTGGAATGAGAAGCCCTGTATTCTACAGAGAGGATTTTATGTGAAGAGGGCTGGATCACATTGGCAATTATCCACCCATCATCTTCCTTCCACTACCCATCCTGGAAGCCACTTGTCACCTGTGACATTCCCAAGATATTCCTTGGTCACCATTTTATTCTGGAAGTAGGGGTTACTCCAAAATAACAACATGATCTTGCAGAGATGAATGGGATGTTTCACTTCTTTCACCTGTCAGAACAAGGTGGAGAAAGCTTAAACATCTTTTTGGGTGAGGTGCCCACTGTTGCTTACAGGAATGAATTATTTCCCTTACCCTCCCCCACTAAACCCTCTAGCCTCAGTCTTCCCAGCCTCACCTCCAAGTTGATCACGTAGCTCAGCATGTCTTCATCTTGGTCACTGATCAGGGCTGATATCAAGAGGTGGTTTGCCATCTGCTTTAGGTCAAAGAGCCTTTAGATGCAATGGAAGGAAAAGTTAGAAGCAAGAGGGAAGAAGACCTAGAGCACCCAGAGGCTTGGGTAAGGAATTTCTAAGATCTGCTTCCATGTATGACCTCCCTTTCTACTCTACCTCCCCCTGAATTAAGGCCTCTTGGGCTCATGGAGTGCATATAATTCTGAGGCTGACTGCACTGACACACGGAGGGGTGACTTGGGAAGAGTCGCTGGCGTCTGAGGAGTGGCAGAATATGCTTATAACCGAAGACGCCCATTCCCAGATCGGACTGGCAAGGGGCAGCAATCACACTCCCTTAACAATAGCTTGATTCACAGAAAAACCTGTTCTGGTGAGAACTCGCTTCTGCTCTCCAAAAAGATGCCCCAAACGTCTGCTGCTTGGCATCACGAAGGGTTTCTCTGCCGCATGCAGGAAAATAATACCCACGCCTGCTCCAGTTTACTACAGCCACATTTGTCCACGGCAACTCACTGTTGTTCCCCAAATAATCACATCGACGCCGAGCTGCCCATCAGTTACTTACACTTCCCCAAGAGCACCTCTCAACTAGAAAGGCAGAAGAAATACTGAAAAGGTTACAACATTGGCCCAGCAGCCAGGGATGTTCTGGATGATGGCGCCTGTGCAGTACAGGCGCGGCTTGTGCCTCCTCTCCAGCTTTTCCCACTGCTGAGAAAAGGCCTTCCTGGCTCAGGCATTAACTGGCTCCAGCTCCACCTGAATGGCCAGCAGCTCCTCCAGTGCAGACTCTGGGGTCATGGGCCCAGGGCCAGGCTGTGCCCGCTGGGCCTCCTCCTGCCACTCCACGAGGGCCTCCTCCTGGGCCACCACCTCCACCTCCACCTCCACCTCCACCTCCACCATTATGTCATCCAGCACTAGCACCACCTCCTCCCCGAAGGCCGCCGCCTTGCTCTGAGCCCCGGACGCCTCCTCCTGCAGAGACTCTATCCTGAAAATGGTGCCCTCTTTGGGACTCTCACAGACCACAGCCTGTGCCACCCGACCCACACCACAGGCACCCTGCTGCTGTGCTTACTGGAGCCTGTGGGCGGGTAGGCCCTCAGGGCACATGCCCCGGGCTTCCAGGAGCCCCCTAACGAACTGCACGCAAAGGGCGCTGGGAGCCGCGCCACTACTGCCCACTTCCCGGCAAGACCAATCAGTGCGATGGTGGTGGGCGTCTCCCTGGGTGACACCTCCCCAGGCTGACCTGCATCACCAGCCCCCCGGGGTAAGCCTCCTCTGAGAAGCCCTCGCAGCTTGTGCCAGGTAGCGCTAGGTGCAGGCACAAGTGGGCTGCATGGCCTTTGGCATTGTGGGCATGGAAGCCCAGTGCCCTAACTGATATCCTGAGTATGGCAAGCTATTGACCCACAGGGAACACATGAAAACATCTCACTGCATTAGGCAGGCCAGGTAGGTGGTACAGAATATTGCAGATCCAGAGGAGAACTCTCTCTGGCTGCTGAGGCGAGGGTGGCGGGGGTGGCCTGGGGTAAGTGGGTCGGGGCCAGCTCTTGGGAGGAAAGTCGCCTGGTTGTGCTGAGGTGGAATTCGTCTGCTCCAGAGGTCGGAACCCTGGCAAGCACTCTCGCAGGTCTAGGCAAATACAGGCTCCGAGTACCATGCTTCCTCCTTGAGAATGCTGTACTCCCAGGAGCATTCTAAAAGGCTTCGCATCCTATGTCCCGGGCACACTGGAGGCCAGCCGCCAGGGTTGGCTACCGACAGCCTGCGTGCCTGCTGTTGTGCACTGCCTTGCCGACCCAGAGGCTCCCGCACGTGCAGCAACGTCTGCAGTGCCTGCTGGCGGGGCTCTGAAAGCCCAGGACATGGGCCTCTAGATCCTGAACTCCTGTGCGCAGTTGACCCTGGTGGGGACCTGAGCCCCATGGCGAGAGTGGCGATCTGCGGGCCCAGCGGGGCCCTTCAGGAAACCTGGGTCCATGTAGGTGTGGTACTAGGTTCTCAGCAGGGTGAGGCCCACGGGACTTTCAGGGAGCAGGCCTCTTGTGGAGCAGCCCTCCTGTGGAGCAGCCCCCAGAGCCTAGGGGTGCTGGGGATGCGCTGGGCTGCGCAGGCCGGGGTCTGTCGGAGCACCCAGGAGGACACCATGTTCAGGCTGGAGGCTCTGCTGGAGAGGAAGGCCGGGGTACAGATCAAGGAGGAGGCCTTGGAAAAGGAGAAGGTGCTTATGGTGGAAGACCTAATGGCTGAGGTGGAGGTGGTGGTTGAGGAGGAGACCGATGTGAAGTGGCAGAAGGAGGACCAGTGGGCACAGCCTGGCCCTGGAGGCAGCACACCCAGGCCGTCAATGAGCTCACTGGAGGTCTTCACTTGGAGCTGGGCTCCATGAATGCCTCAGGCCACAGGGCATCTCCAGCTTCTGGGCCAGAGCCATATCCTTGCAGCAGCCCATTTGGGATGGCTGGCAGCAGGGGTTGGGCATCAGGCTTTGGGGGGGTTGTGCGGGATGGGTGGGGGGAGGAGCCAGGAGGGAGGCACATGTGGTCAGCCAGGAGGCAGGGGATGGGGGACAGGTGGGAGCTGAGGTCAGTTTCCTGCAGATAGGAGGGCAGATTGCTGTCAGAGCCCTGGGAGCAGTTGATAGGGATGGGGAGCCAAGCACAGCACTCACAAGAGAGAATCGCGGCTCCAAGGACCCTTCACACACAGCACAAAGTTGAAGGGCATTTTTCCCTGGGAAAGTCCCTGGAGGAAGGGGACTCTGCACACCCATGCCAGGTAGAATCTGAAAGTGGACATTTGGAGCGCTTTGAGGCCTATGGTGAAAGAGGATATATCTTCAGATTAAAACCAGACAGAAGAATTCTGAGAAACTGATTTGCGATGCATGCGTTCATCTCACAGAGTTGAACCTTTCTTTTGATAGAGCAGTTTGGAAACACTCTTTTTGTATAATCTGCAAATGGAGATTTAGAGCGCTTTGTGACCTATGGTAGAAAAGGAGATATCTTCACATAAAATCTAGATACAAGCAATCTGAGAAACTTCTTTGTGATGTATGCATTCACCTGATAGAGATGAAACTTTCTTTTGATGTGCCAGTTTCGAAATACTCTTTTTGTTGAATCTGCAAGTGGACATTTGGAGCTCTTAAATGCCTAAGGTGGAAAAAGAAATATCTTCACATAAAAACTAGACAGAAGAATTCTGAGAACCTTCTTTGTGATGCATGCATTCATCTCACAGAGTTCAGTCTTTTTTTTGATTGAGGAGTTTGGAAGCACTGTTTTTGTAGAATCTGCAAGTGAATATTTGGAGCGCTTGGTGGCCTATGGTAGAAAAGGAAATGTCTTAACATAAAATCTACATGGAAGCAATCTGAGAAACTTCTTTGTGATGTGTGCATTCATCTCACAGAGTTAAACCTTTCTTTTGATTGAGCAGTTTTGAAACTCTCTTTTTGTAGAATCTGCAAGTGGACATTTGGAGTGCTTTGATGCCTATGGTGGAAAAGGAAATATCTTCACATAAAAACTAGATAGAAGAATTCTGAGAAACTTCTTAGTGAAGAGTGGGTTCATTTTACAGAGTTGAAACTTTCTTTTGATTGAGCAGTTTTGAACCTCTCTTTTTCTAGAATCTGCAAGTGGACATTTGGAGAGCTTTGAGGCCTACGGTGGAAAAGGAAATACCTTCAGGTAGAAACTAGACAGAAGAATTCTGAGAATCTTCTTTGTCATGTGTGCGTTCATCTCACAGAGTTAACTTTTTCTTTTGATTGAGCAGTTTGGAAAAACCCTTTTTGTAGAATCTGCAAGTGGACATTTGGAGCGCTTTGCAGCCTATGGTAGAAAAGGAAATATCTTCACATGAAATCTAGACAGAAGCAATCTGAGAAACTTCTTTTTGTTGTCTGCATTCATCTCAGAGAGTTAAACCTTTCCTTTGATGGTGCAGTTTTAAAACTCTCCTTTTGTAGAATCTGAAAGTGGACACTTGGAGCACTTTGAGGCCTGTGGTGGAAGAGGAAATATCTTCAGATTAAAACCAGACAGAAGAATTCTGAGAAACTTATTTGTGATGCGTGCGTTCGTCTCACAGAGTTGAACTTTTCTTTTGATTGAGCAGTTTGGAAACACTCTTCTTGTATAATCTGCAAATGGAGATTTGGAGCACTTTGCAGACTATGGTAGAAAAGGAAATATCTTCACATAAAATCTAGATAGAAGCAACCTGAGAAACTTCTTTGTGATGTGTGCATTCATCTCACAGATTTGAAACTTTCTTTTGATGGACCAGTTTTGAAATGCTCTTTTTGTTGAATCTGCAAGTGGATATTTGGAGCTCTTTCAGGCCTATGGTGGAAAAGGAAATATCTTCACATAAAAACTAGACAGAAGAATTCTGAGAAACTTCTTTGTGATGTGTGCATTCATCTCACAGAGTTCAGTCATTCTTTTGATTGAGCAGTTTGGAAACACTCTTTTTGTAGAATCTGCAAGTGGATATTTGGAGCACTTGGCGGCCTATGGTAGAAAAGGAAATATCTTAACATAAAACCTACACAGAAGCAACCTGAGAAACTTCTTTGTGATGTGTACATTCATCTCCCAAAGTTGAACTTTTCTTTGGAAGGAAGAGTTTTGAAATACACTTTTTGTAGAATCTGCAAGTGGACATTTTGAGCATCTTGAGGCCTATGGTGGAAAAGGAAATATCTTCACATAAAAACTAGACAGAAGAATTCTGAGAAACTTCTTAGTGATGTGTGGGTTCATTTCACAGAGTTGAAGCTTTCTTTTGATTGAGCAGTTTGGAAACACTCTTTGTGTAGAATCTGCAAGTGAATATTTAGAGCGCTATACAGTCTATGATATAAAAGGAAATATCTTCACATAAAATCTAGATAGAAGTAATCTGAGAAACTTCTTTGTGATGTGTGCATTCTTCTCACAGAGTTGAACTTTTCTTTTGGCTCAGCAGTTTTTGACCTCTCTTTTTCTAGAATCTGCAAGTGGACTTTCGGGGCGCTTTGATGCCTATGGTGGAAAAGGAAATATCTTCATGTAAAAACTAGATGGAAGCTTTCTGAGAAATTTATTTGTGATGTGTGCGTTCACCCCAGAGAGATGAACCTTTCTTTTGATTGACCAGTTTGGAAACACTCTTTTTGGAGAATGTGCAAGTGGACATTTGGAGCGCTTTGCGGTCTATGTTAGAAAAGGAAATATCTTCACATAAAATCTAGACAGAAGCATTCTGATAAACTTCTTTGTGATGTGTGCAGTGATCTCACAAATTTAAACCTTTGTTTTGATTGAGTAGTTTTGAAACTCTCTTTTTGAAGAATCCGTAAGTGGACATTTGGAGCGAATTGAAGCCTATGGTGGAAAAGGAAATATCTTTGGATAAATACTAGACAGAATAATTCTGGGAAACATCTTTGAGATGTGTGCATTCATCTCACAGAGTTTAACGTTTCTTTTGTGTGAGCAGTTTGGAAACACTCTTTTCATAGAATCTGCAAGTGGGCATTTGGAGTGCTTTGCAGCCTATGGTAGAGAAGGAAATATCTTCACATAAAATCTAGACAGAAGCATTCTGATAAACTTCTTTGTGATGTGTGCATTCATCTCACAGAGTTGAACCTTTCTTTTGAAGGAGCAGTTTTGAAATATGCTTTTTGTAGAATCTGCAAGTGGACATTTCGAGCTCCTTGAGGCTTATGGTGGAAAAGAAAATATCTTCACACACACAAAAAAAGACAGAAGAATTCTGAGGAACTTTTTTGTGATGTGTGCATTCATCTCAAACAGCTGAACCTTTCTTTTGGTTGAGCAGTTTGGAAACAGTCTTTTTGTAGAATCTGCAAGTGGACATTTGGAGCGCTATGTGGCCTATGGTAGAACAGGAAATATCTTCACATAAAATCTAGACAGAAGCAATCTGAGAAACTTCTGTGGGATGTGTGAATTCATCTCCCAGAGTTAACCCTTTCTTTGGATTGGGCACTTTCGACACTCTCTTTATGCAGAATTTGCAAGTGGACTTTTGGAAGGCTTTGACCCCTATGGTGAAAAAGGAAATAACTTCACGTGAAATCTAAACCAAAGCAATATGAAAAATTTCTTTTTGATGTGTGCATTCATCTCACAGAGTTAAACCTTTCCTTTGATTGTGCAGTTTTGAAAGGCTCTTTTTGTAGAATCTGCAAGTGGATATTTGAAGCACTTTGAGGCCTATGGTGGAAGAGGAAATATCTTCAGATTAAAACTTGACAAGAATTCTGCAAAACTTACTTGTGATGTGTGCGTGCATCTCAAATAGTTGAACCTTTCTTTTGATTGAGCATTAGGAAACACTTTTTTTGTAGAATCTGCAAATTGGGATTTGGAGCGCTCTGCAGCCTGTGGTAAAAAAGGAGATATCTTCACATAAAATACAGACAGAAGCAATCAGAGAAACTTCTTTGTGATGTGTGCATTCATCTCACAGAGTTGAAAATTTCTTTTGATGGACTAGTTTTGAAATACTCTTTTTGTTGAATCTGCAAGTGGACATTTGGAGCTCTTTGAGGCCTATGGTGGAAAAGGAAATCCTTGACATAAAAACTAGACAGAAGTATTCTGAGAAACCACTTTGTGATGTGTGCATTCATCTCACAGAGTTGAGCATTTCTTTTGATTGAGGAGTTTGGAAACACTCTTTTTGTAGAATCTGCAGGTGGACATTTGAAGCTTTTTGTGGCCTATCATAGAAAAGGAAATATTTTAACATAAAATCTAGATAGAGGAAATCTGAGAAACTTCGTTGTGATGTGTGCATTCATCTCCCAGAATTGAAACTTTCTTTTGATTGAGGAGTTTGGAAACAATCTTTTTGTAGAACGTGCAAGTGGACATTTGGAGTGCTTTGTGGCCTATGGTAGAAAAGGGAATACCTTTATATAAGAACTAGACAGAAACATTCTGAGAAACTTATCTGGATGTGTGCATACATCTCCCAGAGTTGAACCTTTCTTGTGATTGTGCAGTTTGGAAACACTCTTTTTGTAAAATCTGCAAGTGGACATTTTGAGCGCTTTGCGGCCTATGGTAAAAAAGGAAATATCTTCACATGAAATCTAGACAGAAGATATCTGAGAAACTTCTTGGTGATGTGTACATTCATCTCACAGAGTTATACTTTTCTTTTCATTGAGTAGTTTTTTAAACTCTCTTTTTGTAGAATCTGCATGTGGACATTTGGAGCGCTTTGAGCCCTGTGTTGGAAAAGGAAATATCTTCACATAAAAACTAGACTAAAGATATCTGAGAAACTTCTTTGTGATGTGTGCATTCATCTCCCAGAGTTCAACCTTTCTTTTGATGGACCAGTATTGAAATATTTTTTTTTTTTTTAGAATCTGCAAGTGGACATTTCGAGCACCTTGAGGACTATGGTAGAAAATGATATATCTTCACATAAAAATTAGACAGAAGAATTATGAGAAACTTCTTCATGATGTGTGCATTCATCTCACAGAGTTGAACCTTCCTTTGACTGAGCAGTTTGGAAACCCTCTTTTTGTAGAATCTGCAAGTGAATATTTTGAGTGCTTTGAGGCTGATGGTAGAAAAGGAAACACCTTCACATAGAATCTCCACAGAAGCAATCTGAGAAACTACTTTGTGATGTGTGCATTCATCCCACAGCTTTAAATGTTTCTTTTGCTTGAGCATTTTTGAAACTCTCTTTTCATAGAATCTGCAAGTGGACATTTGGAGAGCTTTGTGCCCTGCAGTAGAAAAGGAAATATCTTCACATAAAATCTTAACAAAAGCAATCTGAGAAACTTCTTTGAGATGTATGCATTCATCTCACAGAGATAAACCTTTCTTTTGATTGGACAGTTTTGAAATTCTCTTTTTGTAGATTCTGCAATTGGACGTTTGGAGCGTTTTGAGGCCTATGGTGGTAAAGGAAATATCTTCACATATAAACTAGACAGAACAATTCTGGGAAATTCCTTTGTGATGTTTGCATTCATCTCATGGAGTTGAACCTTTCTTTTGATTGAGCAGTTTGGAAACACTCTTTTTGTAGGATCTGGCAATTGGTCATTTCGAGTCCTTTGCAGCCAATGGTAGAAAAGGAAGTATCTTCACACAAAATCTAGACAGAAACAATCTGAGAAACTTGTTTCTGATGTGTGCATTCATCTCACAGAGTCAAACCTTTCTTTTGATTGAGAAGTTCTGAAACTTTCTTTTTGTAGAATCTGCAAGTGGGCATTTGGAGCGCTTTGAGGCCTATGGTGGAAAAGGTAATATCCTCACATAAAAATTACACAGAAGAATTCTGACAAACTTCTTTGTGATGTGTGTGTTCATCTCACAGAGTTGAGCCTTTCTTTTGATTGAACAGTTTGGAAACACTGTTTATGTAGAATCTGCAAGTGGACATTTGGAGCACTTTGAGGCCTGTGGTAGAAAAGGAAATACCTTCACATAAAATCTAGACAGAAGCAATCTGAGAAACTTCTTTCTGATGTGTGCATTCATCCTACAGAGTTAAATGGTTCTTTTGATTGAGCATTTTTGAAACTATCTTTTCGTAGAATCTGCAAGTGGAAATTTGGAGCGCTTTGAGGCTTATGGTGGAAAAGGAAATATCTTCACATAAAAACTAGACAGAAGAATTCTGAGAAACTACTTTGTAATGTGAGCGTTCATCTCACAGAGTTGAATCTTTCTTTTGATTGAGCAGTTTGGAAACATCGTTTTTGTAGAATCTGCAAGTGGACATTTGGAGCTCTTTGCAGCCTATGGTAGAAAAGGAAATATCTTCACATAATATCTAGAAAGAAGCAATCTGAGAAACTTCTTTTTGATGTGTGCATTCATCTCACAGAGTTAAACATTTGTTTTGATTGAGCAGTTTTGAAACTCTCTTTCTGTAAAATCTGCAAGTAGACATTTGAAGCGCTTTGAGGTCTATGTTGGAAAAGGAAATATCTTCTTAGAAAATGTAGACCGAAGAATTCTGAGAAACTCCTTTGTGATGTGTGCATTCATCTCACAAAGTTGAATTTTTCTTTTGATTGAGCAGTTTGGAAACATTCTTTTTGTAGAATCTGCAAGTGGAAGTTTGGAGAGCTTTGCGGCTTATGGTACAGAAGGAAATATCTTCACATGCTATCTATACAGAAGCAATCTGAGAAGCTTCTTTGTGATGTATTTATCTCACAGAGATAAATCTTTCTTTTGACAGAGCAGTTTAGAAACTATCTGTAGAATCTGCAAGTGGACATTTAGAGCGCTTTGTGGCCTATGGTAGAAAAGGTAACATCTTCACATAAAATCTAGACAATAGCAATCTGGGAAACTTCTTTGTGAAGGGTGCATTCATCTCACAGAGTTAACCTTTTCTTTTGATTGAACAGTTTGGAAACTCTCTTGTTGTAGTATCTGCAAGTGGACATTTGGAGCACTTTGATGCCTGTGGTGGAAAAGGAAATATCTTCACATAAAAATAGATAGAAGCATTTTGAGAAACTTCTCTGTGAGGTGTGCGTTCATCTCCCAGAGTTGAACCTTTCTTTTGATGGACTAGTATTGACATACTCTTTTTGTAGAATCTGCAAGTGGACTTTTCTAGCGCCGTGTGGCCTATGGTGGAAAATGATATATCTTCAAATAAAATCTAGACAGAAGAAATCTGAGAAACTTCTTTGTAATGAGTGCATTCGTCTCACTGAGTTAAACATTTCTTTTGATTGAGCAGTTTTGAAACTCTCTTTTTGTAGTATCTGCAAGTGGACATTTGGAATGCTTTGAGGCCTGTGGCGGAAAAGGACACATCTTCACATAAAACCTAGACAGAAGAATTCAGAGTAACTTCTCTGTGATGTGTGGGCACATCTCACAGAGTTGAAAATTTCTTTTGATTGAGCAGTTTGGAAACACTCTTTTTGTAGAATCTGCAAGTGGAGATTTGGAGCGCTTTGTGGTCTATGGTAGAAAAGGAACTATATTCACATAAAATCTAGACAGAAGCAATCTGAGAAACTTCTTCATGATGTATACATTCATGTCACAGAGTTAAACTTTTCTTTTGATTGAGCACTTTGAAACACTCTTTTTGTAGAAGCTGCAAGTGGACATTTGGAGCACTTTCAGGCCTATGGTAGAAAAGGAAATATCTTCACATAAAAACTACACAGAAGAATTATGAGAAACTTCTCTGTGATGCGTGAGTTGATCTCACAGAGTTGAACATTTCTTTTGATTGAGCAGTTTGGAAACACTCTTTTTGTAGAATCTGCAAGTGGACATTTGGAGAGCTTTGCAGCCTATGGCAGAAAAGGAAATGTCTTCACATAATATCTAGACATAAGCAATCTGAGAAACTTCTTTGTGATGTGTGCATTCATCTCACAGAGTTAAAACTTTCTTTTGATTGAGCAGTTTTGAAACTCTCTTTTTGTAGAATCTGAAAGTGGACATTAGTATCGCTTTGAGGCCTATGGTGGAAAAGGAAATATCTTCACATAAAAACTAGTCAGAAGAATTCTTTGTGATGTGTGTGTTCACCTCACAGAGTTGAACCTTTCTTTTGATTGAGAAATTTGGAAACACTCTTTTTGTAGAATCTGCAAGAGGATATTTGGAGCCATTTGCGGCCTAAGTTCGAAAAGGAAATATCTTCACATAAAATCTAGACAGAAGCAATCTGATAAACTTCTTCATGACGTGTGCATTCATCTCACAGAGTTAAACATTTCTTTTGATTGAGCAGTTCTGAAAGTCTCTTTTTGTAGAATCTGCAAGTGGACCTTTGGAGCGCTTTGTGGCCGATGGTAGAAAAGGAAATATCTTCACATAAAATCTAGACAGAAGCAATCTGAGAAAATTCTTTGTGATGAGGGCTTTCATCTCACAGTTAAACCATTCTTTTGATTAACCAGTTTTGAAACTCTCTTTTGGTAGAATCTGCAAGTGGACATTTGGAGCGCTTTGAGGTCTATGGTGGAAAAAGAAATATGTTCACATATAAACCAGACAGAATAATTCTGATAAACTTCTTTGTGATGTGGGCTTTCATCTCACAGAGTTGAACCTTTCTTTTGATTGAGCAGTTTTGAAACACTCTTTTTGTAGGATCTGCATGTGGACATTTGTAGCGCTTTGTGGCCTATGTTAGAAAAGGAAATATCTTCTCATAAATTCTAGACAGCAGCAATCTGAGAAACTTCTTTGCGATGTGTGCATTCATCTCACAGAGTTCAACATTTGTTTTGATTGAGCAGTTTTGAAACTCTCTTTTTGTAGAATGTGCAATTGGAAATTTGGAGCGATTTAAAGCCTATGGTGGAAAAGAAAATATCTTCACATAAAAAGTACACAGAAGCATTCTGAGAAACTTCTTTGTGATGTGTACATTCATCTCACAGTGTTGAACCTTTCTTTTGATTGAGCAGCTTTGAAACACTCTTTTTGTAGTATCTGCTAGTGGATACATGGAGCGATTTGAGGTCTATTGTGGAAAAGGAAATATCTTCACATAAAAACTACAAAGAAGCATTCTTTCAAACTTATTTGTTATGAGTGAATTCATCACACAGAGTGGAAGCTTTATTTTGATTGATCAGTTCTGAAACACTCTTTTTGTCGAATCTGGAAGTGGATATTTGGAGGGCTTTGAGGCTTATTTTGGAAAGGAACTATCTTCACATAAAAACTACACAGAAGCATTATGAGATACTTCTTTGTTATGTGTCTATTCAACTCACAGAGTGGAAACTATCTTTTGATGGGGCACTTTTAAATCTCTCTTTTTGCAGAATCTGCAAGCGGATATTTGGAGCGTTTTGAGGCTTACCGTGGAAAAGCAAATATCTTCACCTAAAAACTACACAGAAACATTCTGAGAAACTTCTTTGTCACGTGTGTATTCAACTCACAAGGTCGAACCTATCTTTTGATTGACCAGTTTTGAATCTCTCTTCTTGCAGAATCTGCAAGTGGATATTTGCAGAGTTTTTAGGCCTATTGTGGAAAAGGAAATGTCTCCACATAAAAACTACACAGAGAAATTCTGAGAAACTTCTTTGTGATGTGTGCATTCAACTCAGAGAGCTGGACCGATCTTTTGATTGAGCAGTTTTGAAACACTCTTTTTGTAGAATCTGCAAGTGGACACTTGGAGCGCTTTGAGGCCTATGGTGGAAAAGGTAGTATTTTCCAATATAAACTATACAGAATAATTCTGAGAAACTTCTTTGTGACATGTGTGTTCATCTCCCAGAGTTGAACCTTTCTTTTCACTGAGCAGCTTGGACACACTCTTTTTGTAGAATCTGCAAGTGGACATTTGGAGCACTTTGCAGCCTAAGGCAGAAAAGGAAATATCTTCATATAGAATCTAGACAGAAGCAATCTGAGAAACTTCTTTGTGATGTGTGCATTCATCTCGAAACAGCTCATTGAAAAGAAAGGTTCAACTCTGTGTGATAGATGCACCCATCACAAAGAAATTTCTCTGAATGTTTCTGTGTAGTTTTTATGTGAAGACATTTGCTTTTCCACAATAGGCCTCAAAACACACCAAATATCCACTTGCAGATTCTACAAAAAGAGTGTTTGATAACTGCTGAATCATAACATAGGTTCAACCCTGTGAGATAAATGTACACATCACAAATAAGTTTCTCATAATGCTTCTCTGTAGTTTTTATTTGAATATATTTCCTTTTCCACCATAGGCCACAAAGGACCCCAAATATCCAATGGCAGTAACTACAAAAAGAGAGATTCAAAACTGCTCAATCAAAAGATAGGTTCAACTTTGTGAGTTGAATGCACACATCACAAAGAAGTTTCTAGGAATTTCTATATGTAGTTTTTATGTGGAGATATTTCCTTTTCCACAATAGGCCTAAAAGCTCTCCAAATATCCACTTACAGATTCTTCAAAAAGAGAGATTCAAAACTGGTCAATCAAAAGATAGGTTCATCCTTGTGTAAGTTGACTGCACACGTGGCAAAGAAATTTCTCAGAATGCTTCTGTGTAGTTTTTATGTGAAGATATTTGCTTTTCCATGGTATGTCTCAAAGTGCTCCAAATATCCACTTGCAGATTCTGCAAAAATGGAGATTCAAAACTGCTCAATCAAAAGATAGTTTCCACTCTGTGGGTTGAATGCACACATAACAAAGAAGTTTCTCAAAATGCTTCTGTGTAGTTTTTATGGGAAGATATTTCCTTTTCCAAAATAAGCCCCAAAGCCCTCCAAATATCCACTTCCAGTTCTACAAAAAGAGTGTTTCTGAACTGCTCAATCGAAAGAAAGGTTGCACTCTGTGTGATGAATTCACTCACCGCAAAGAATTCTGTGAGAATGCTTCTGTGTAGTTTTTATATGAAGATATTTCCTTTTCCACAATAGGCCTCAAATTGCTCCAAATATCCACTAGCAGATTGTACAAAAAGAGTGTTTCAAAACTGCTCAATGAAAAGAAAGATTCAACACTGTGAAATAAATGCACACACCACAAAGAAGTTTCTCAGAATGCTTCTGTGTAGTTTTTATGTGAAGATATTTGCTTTTCCACAGTAGGCCTCAAAGGGCTCCAAATATTCACGTGCAGATTCTACAAAAAGAGAGATTTCAAAACTGCTCAATCAACAGACAGGTTTGACTCTGTGAGTTGAATGCACACATCACAAAGAAGTTTCTCAGAATGCTTCCGTGTAGTATTTGTGTGAAGATATTTGATTTTCCACAGTAGACCTCAAAGCTCTCTAAACATCCCCTTGCAGATTCTGCAAAAAGAGAGATTCAAAACTGCTCAATCAAAAGATAGGTTCAACACTGTGAGTTGAAGACACACATAACAAAGAAGTTTCTCAGAAGATTTCTGTGTAGTTTTTATTTGAAGATATCTTTTTTTCCAAAATTGACCTCCAAGCCCTCCAAATATCCACTTCCAGATTCTACAAAAATAATGTTTAAAAACTGCTCAATCAAAAGAAGAGTTCAATCCTGTGAGAGGAATGCGCACATCAAAAAGGAATTTCTCAGAATGCTTTTGTGTAGTTTTTATGTGAGGATATTTCCTTTTCCACAACAGGCCACAAAGGGCTCCAAATATCCACTTGCAGATTCTACTGAAAGAGTGCTTCTAAACTGCTCAATCAAAAGAAAGTTTCAACTCTCTGAGATGAATGCACACATCACAAATAAGTTTCTTAGAATGCTTCTGTGTAGATTTTATGTGAAGATATTTCCTTTTTCACCATAGGCCACAAAAGACTCCAAATATGCAATTGTAGATTCTACAAAAAGAGAGTTTCAAAACTGCTCAACCAAAAGATAGATTCAACTCTGTGACTTGAATGCACACATCACAAAGAAGCTTCTCAGAATGCTTCTGTGTAGTTTTTATGTGAAGATATTTGATTTTCCACAGTTGGCCTCAAAACCCTCCAAATATCCAGTAACAGATTCTGCAAAAACAGAGATTCGAAACTGCTCAATCAAAATATAGTTTCAACTCTGTGAGTTGAATGCACACATCACAAAGCAGTTTCTCAGAATGCTTCTGTGTAGTTTTTATGTGAAGCTATTTTATTTTCCACAGTAGGCCTCAAAGCACTCCTAATATCCACTTGCAGATTCTGCAAAAAGAGATTCAAAACAGCTCAATCAAAAGATAGTTTCAACTCTGTTAGTTGAATACACACCTCACAAAGAAGTTTCTCAAATTCTTCACTGTAGTTTTTATGTGAAGATATCTTTTTCTCCAATATAGTCCTCAAATCCCTCCAAATAGCCACTTCCAGATTCTACGAAAAGACTGTTTCAAAACTGCTCAATCCAAAGAAAGGTTCAACTCTGTGTGGTGAATGCACTCATCACAAAGAAGTTTCTCTGAACACTTCTGTGTAGTTTTTATTTGAAGATATTTACTTTTCCACCATAGGGTGAAAAGGGCTCCAAATACCCACTTGCAGATTCTACAAGAGAGATGCTAAACTGCTCATTGAAAAGATAGGTTCAACTCTGTGAGTTGAATGCGCACATCACAAATCAGTTTCTCAGAATGCTTCTGTGTAGTTTTTATGTGAAGATATTTCCTTTTCCACTGTAGGCCTCAAATAGCTCCAAAGATACACTTGCAGATCATACAAAAACAGTGTTTCAATACGGCTTAATCAAAAGAAATGTTCAACTCTGTGAAATGAATGCATACATCACAAAGAAGTTTCTCAGAATTTACTTTCAGAATTTTAGGTGAAGATGTTTGCTTTTCCACGTTAGGACTCAAAGCGCTCCAAACATCCACTGGCAGATTCTACAAAAAGAGTGTTTCAAAACTGCTCAATCATAAGATAGGTTCAACCCTGTGAGATGAATGCACACATCAAAGGGAGTTTCTCAGAATGCTTCTCTCAATCAAAAGATAGGTTCAACTCAGTGAGTTGAATGCACACATCACAAAGAAGTTTCTCAGAATGCTTTCGTGTAGTTTTTATGTGAAGATATTTGCTTTTCCACAATAGGCCTCAGATGTCTACAAATATCCACCCTCAGATCCTGCAAAAAGAGAGATTTAAAACTGCTTAATGAAAAGATGGGTTCGACTCTGTGAGTTGAATGCACACATCACAAAGAAGTTTCTCAGAATGCCTCTCTGTAGTTTTTATGTGAGGATATTTGATTTCCCAAGTAGGCCTCAAAGGGCTCCTAATACCCACTTGCAGATTCTGCAAAAAGAGAGATTCATAACGGCTCAATCAAAAGACAGGTTCAACTCTGAGTTGAATGCATACCTCTCAAAGAAGTTTCTAAGAATGCTTCTGTGTAGTTTTTATGTGAAGATATCTCCGTCTCCAAGATAGCAATCAAAGCCCTCCAAATATCCACTTCCAGATTCTATGAAAAGAATGTTTCAAAACTGCACAATCCAAAGAAAGTTTCAACTCTGTTTGAAGAATGCACTCATCCAAAGAAGTTTCTCTGAATGCTTCCGCATAGTTTTTATTTGAACATATTTCCTTTTCTACCATAAGGCGTGAAGGGCTCCAAATATCCACATGCAGATTCTCCAAAAAGAGAGATTCTAAACTGCTCAATCTACAGATAGGTTCAACTCTGTGAGTTGAATGCACACATCACAAAGAAGTTTCTGAGAATGCCTCTGTCTAGTTTTTATGTGAAGATATTTCCTTTTCCACCATAGGCTTCAAATCGCTTCACATATCCACTTGCAGATTCTACAAAAAGAGTGTTTCAAAACTGCTCAATCAAAAGAAAGGTTCAACTCGGTGAGATGAATGCACACATCACAAAGACGTTCCACAGAATCCTACTGTCTAGTTTTTATATGAAGAAATTTGCTTTTACCCCAGAGGCTACAAAGCAATCAAAATATCCACTTGCAGATTGTACAAAAAGAGTGTTTCAAAACTGCTCCATTAAAAGAAATGTTCAACTCTGTGAGCTGAATACACACATCACAAAGTAGTTTCTCAAAATGTTTCTGTCTAGTTTTTATATGAAGATATTACTTTTTCCACTGTGGGCCTCAAACCCCTCCAAATATCGATTTGCAGATACCACAAAAACACAGAGTCCAAATTGTGCAATCCAAAGAAAAAGGTACAACTCTGTGGGATAAATGGACACATCACAAAGCAGTTTCTTAGAATGCTTTTGTGTAGTTTTTATGTGAAGATATTTACTTTTCCCCATTAGGCCTCAAAGCGCTCCAAATATCCTCTTGGAGATTCTACTAAAAGAGTGTGTCAAAGCTGCTCAATCAAAAGTAATGTTGAATTCTGTAAGATGAATGAGCACATCACAAAAAAGTTTCTCAGAATGCTTCTGTGTGGTTCTTATGCGAAGATACTTCCTTCTCCACCATTGGCCTCAAAGCACTCCACATATCCTCTTGCAGATTCTACAAAAAGAGTGTTTGAAAACTGGTGAATGAAAAGAAAGTTTCAATTCTGTGAAATGAATGCACTCATCCAAAGAAGTTTCTCAGAATGCTTCTGTCTAGTTTTTATTTGAAGATACTTCCTTTTCCACCATCGGCCCCAAATCACTCCAAATATCCACTTACAGATTCTTCAAAAAGAGTTTTTCAAAACTGCTCAATCAAAAGAAAGGTTCATCTCTCTGAGATGAATGCACACATCACAAAGAAGTTTCTCAGAATGCTGCTGTATAGTTTTTATTTGAAGATGTTGCCTTTTCCACTAGTGGCCAAAAAGCTCTCCAAATATCCACTTGCAGATTCCACAAAAAGAGTGTTTCATAATTGCTCAATCAAAAGAAAGATTCAACTCTCTGAGTTGAATGCACACATCGCAAAGAAGTTTCTGGGAATGCTTCTGTCCAATTTTAGAGTGAAGATATTTCATTTTCCACAATAGGCCTCAAAGCACTCCAAATATCCACTTCCACATTCTACAAAAAGATTGTTTCAAAACTGCTCAATCAAAAGAAAGTTTCATCTCTGTGACATGAATGCATGCATCACAATGAAGTTTCTCATAATGCTTCCATGTAATTTTTATGGGCAGATATTTCCTTTTCAACCATAGGCCTCAAAGTTCTCCACATATCCAATTGCAGATTCTACAAAAAGAGTTTTTCAAAACTGCTCAATTAGAGGAAAGGTTCAAATCTGTGATATGAATGCACTGATCACAAAGAAGTTTGTCATAATGCTTCTGTGTAGTTTTATGTGAAGATATTTCCTTTTCCACAATAGGCCTCAGTGTGCTCCAAATATCCACTTGCTGATTATATAAAAAGAGTGTTTCAAAACTCCTCAATCAAAAGATAAGTTCAACTCTGTGACTTGAATGCACACATTACAAAGAAGTGTCTCACAATGCTTCTGTGTAGTTTTTATGTGAAGACATTTCCTTTTCCACAAGAAGCCTGAAAGCGCTCCAAATATCCACTTGAAGATCCTACAAAAAGAGTGTTTCAAAATGGTTCAATCAAAAGCAAGGTTCAACTCTGTGAGATGAATGCACACATCACAAAGAAGCTGCTCAGAATGCTTTTGTATAGTTTTTATGTGAAGATATTTCGCTTTCCACCATAGGTCTCAACGGGCTCCAAATATCAACTTGCAGATTCTACAAAAAGAGTGTTTCCAAACTGCTCAATCAAATGACAGTTTCAACACTGTGAGATGAATGCACACATCACAGAGAAGTTTCTCAGAATGGTTCTGTGTAGTTTTTATGTGAAAATATTTCCTTTTCCACAATAGGTCTCAAAGCACTCCAAATATCCACTTGCAGATTCTACAAAAAGAGTGTTTCAAAACTGCTCAATCAAAAGAAAGGTTTGACCCTGTGTGATGAATTTATTCATCACCAAGTAGTTTCTCAGAATGCTTCTGTGTAGTTTTTTTGTGAAGATATTTCCTTTTCCACAATAGGTCTCAAAGGGCTCCAAATATCCACTTGCAGATTGTACAAAAAGAGTGTTTCAAAAGGTCTCAATCAAAAGAAAGTTTCAAATCTCTGAGATAAATACACACATCACAAAGAAGTTTCTCAGAATGCTTCTGTGTAGTTTTATGTGAAGATATTTGCTTTTCCACAGTAGGCCTCTAAGCACTCCATATAACCACTTGCAGAGTCTACCAAAAGGGTGTTTCAAAACTGCTCAGTCATAAGATAGGTTCAACCCTGTGAGATGAATGCACACATCACAAAGAAGTTTCTCAGAATGCTTCTGTGCAGTTTTTATGTGAAGATATTTCCTTTTCCACAATAGGCCTCAGTGTGCTCCAAATATCCACTTGCAGATTCTATAAAAAGAGTGTTTCCAAACTGCTCAATCAAATGAAAGTTTCAACACTGTGAGATGAATGCACACATCACAGAGAAGTTTCTCAGAATGGTTCTGTGTAGTTTTTATGTGAAAATATTTCCTTTTCCACAATAGGCCTCAAAGCGCTCCAAATATCCACTTGTAGATTCTACAAAAAGAGTGTTTCAAAACTGCTCAATCAACAGAAAGGTTCAACTCTGTGTGATCAATTTATTCATCACCAAGTAGTTTCTCAAAATCCTTCTGTGTAGTTTTTAAGTGAAGATATTCCCTTTTCCACAATAGGCCTCAAAGGGCTCCAAATACCCACTTGCAGATTGTACAAAATGAGTGTTTCAAAAAGCCTCAATCAAAAGAAAATTTCAAATCTGTGAGATAAATACACACATCACAAAGAAGTTTCTCAGAATGCTTCTGTGTAGTTTTTATGTGAAAGTATTTCCTTTTCCACAACAGGCCTCAAAGTGCTCCAAATATCCACTTGAAGATTATACAAAAAGAGTGTTTCAAAACTGCTCAATCAAAAGAAAGTTACCACTCTGTGTGATGAATTTATTCATCACAAAGAAGTTTCTCAGAATCCTTCTGTGTAGTTTTTATGTGAAGTCATTGCCTTTTCCTCCATAGGCCTCAAAGGGCTCCAAATACCCACTTCCATATTCTACAAAAAGAGAGTATCAAAACTGCTCAATCAAAAGATAGGTTCAACTCTGTGAGTTGAATGCACACATCACAAAGAAGTTTCTCAGAATGCTTCTATATAGTTTTTATGTGAAGATATTTCCTTTTCCACAATAGGCCTCAAAATGCTCCTAATATCCTCTTGCAGATTCTACAAAAACAGTGTTGCAAAACTGCTCAATCAAAAGAAAGTTTCAACTCTGTGAGATGAATGCACACATCACAAAGAAGTTTCTCAGGATGATGGCTGAATAGGAACAGCTCCAGTGTACAGCTCCCAGCATGAGCGATGCAGAAGAGGGTTGATTTCTGCATTTCCCTGTGATGTACTGGGTTCATCTCACTAGGGAGTGCCAGACAGTGGGCTGAGAAGTCTCTGCACCCCTGAAAGAGTGACTGTGTTGACTGTTTCCTGAGCTCTGTCATGCCCCAGAAACTTCCAGTAATGCGTGGAAGACCAGCATCTTGTTGGTGCTCTCCTTTCCAGTTTTCAAACAGGCTATATTGGAGACTCCCCATTTTGCAGGAAACAGGAATTCTTCATCAAGATGTGATGCATGGGACGTTTCTTTTCTCTGTAGTTTCACTCTCCTTGTCTACATGAAAATAAACAGGATCCACACACCTACCTGTATGAGACTATTACGGCAACTGTGACACCCACGTGCTCACTAAGATTTGGCAGCCTGATCCTGGGACAATGGTACTGATGGTTATCCAGACACACCCCACCACAGTCACTAGCAAACCCACTCCCAAACACACAGACACACACGGGCACAAGCGTGGGAACACAAGCACACACACAGACACACAAAGACACAGACAGCTTGAAGGTGAACAAGGGACAGAGGGATGGAGAGATAGAAAAGGAAGGAGAGTGAGAAACAGTGATAGAGAGAGAGACAGAGAGGAATTGGGGAAATTGAGAGAGACAGAGAGCAAGCAAGCTGGAGTGGGAAGTAGAGAAATGGAGAGGGTGAAGGAGCTAGAGTGGGAGAGCAACAGACTTGGAGAGGGAGACTCTGCTCTGGTAGATAGGGGCCCCTTTGGCGAGGGTAGGGTGGAGGGTGCCTGGGCCGGGCTAGAACAGGGGGACAGGGCCACCCATGCAGGAAAACCAATGGAGCCCTGAGACGTCTTTTTACTTGGATTGGTTAGTTGCTTTGGGGGTGCGTTTTGTAGCGTCATTCCTTTGTTGGCTCCTCCCTGTCCTCTTGGTGCTGTGGGCCCTGAAAATTATGGAGTGCACCGGCCCTGTGGTGGAAGCAGTGGCTTCGAGCCTGCCCATGGGCCGCAGCTTGGGTCTCTCTCACTTTCTGGGTGGTATGGCCATAGACAATGGCAGTGGCATGTGGCTGGCCCAAAAGCACGGTCCAGCTATGTCCACCTGATTCCAGGCATCACCATCAACTCTGGGCTGTGAGGCTGGGATCAGGCACCCCAGAGCTGCTTGCCTGTGGCCGGGCTGCTCTCCCCCTCTACGCCCAAGCACCACTAGGCACCGCGCTGCACTTTCTGCCGACCTCCCACAGTGTCCCCCTGTCGCCGGTGGCTAGACCACATGTGGGACCGCAGAGGTGCCAGAGGCCTCCATCCCCTGCCAGGGCTCTGGACTCCCCAGGCGGCCACCCTCTCACTGACAGTCCAGGCCTTCCCCTGGCTCTTGAGCTCCTGAGCTTCCAATACCTGGGGCCCACTCAGGACAAGATGTGCTCCAAGGCATTAGGGCCCAGGGCCCAGGGTCCTGGGTTCCCCTCTGGCCCTCTGCCTTGCAGTGGAAAAATTGTTTTGGATCCCTCACTGCCCCTCCTGCAAGGCCCCCTCTTGTCTCACACACCCAGAACCACCAGGGCTGCCCGAGTCGAACAGCTGGCCCAGCCCTGCGGGCCCTTTTTCTCACAATGCCCACTCCATCGTCGCTTGTCCCAAGGAAGACCTGGCCCATGGCCAACAGAGCAGGAAGGCCCTACTTTGCCCCGCACTGGCATTAGAGCCCCGGCAGCTTGATCCCAGGAAAGAGGGGCTGACAGACACCCAGAAACACCCCACCACCACCAGGAGCAAACACATCCTCTCACACACAAACAGATACACAGGGGTGCATGCACGCAGGCACACACGCACACGGACACACATGGACACACACACAGACAAAGACACAGACAGCTTGAAGAGAGGGATGGAGAGATAGAAACAAAGGGAGAGATAGAGACAGAGAGGGTGGAGAGACAGGGAGAGAAGGTGACAGAAGAGCGAGAGGTGGAGGGGGAAGAAAAGAGGGTGAGGGAGCCAGAGAGCAAGAGCGATTGAGCCTTGGAGAGGGAGGCTCTTCCCCAGATATACAGGGCCCCTTTGAGCAGGCCAGGGTAGGGTGGAGGGTGCTTGGGCTGGGCCAAACAGGGGGGCAGGGCCGTCCAAGGGAGAGGACCAACTGAGCCCTGAGACGTTTATTCTTGGGTTGGTTGGTTACTTTGGGGATGTGTTCGGTAGGGTCCTTCCTTTGTTTGCTCCTATCTGTCTTCTTGATGCGGTAGGCTCTGAGATTTTCAGAGTGTGCCTGTCCATCTTTCGGGAGCCATAATGCCGAGCATGCTCACAGTGCACAAGACCTGGGTCTCTCTTGTGTCCTCGAGAATGGATTTCACACGAAGTTAGTGGCAGTGGAAATCCAAGTGCACAGGGATGGTTTTCCTGGTGGCTGATGAAGGCAATGTCCCTCCCCCGTGGAAAGCAGCCTATGCGTTGTGGAGCACGGAAAAGTGGAAGTAGAGTCAGGGGGTGGTTGGGAAGCATGGCGACAAAAGGGGGAAAGAGGGAGCGGGGAGCCAAAAGCCTACAGCACTCAGTATTCACAGGGGGTCTCGCATCCAAGTACTAAGCAGGCCCGACTCTGCTTAGCTTCCAAGATCAGTCAAGATCCCATGTGTTCAGGGTGGTATGGCCATAAAGGCCCACAGTGGCACCTGGCTGCCACAGGAGCCCAGCTCAGTCATGTCTGCTCCACTCCAGGCATCACCGCCACCTCGGGGCCAAGGGGCTCAGATCCAGGGCCCCAGAGCTGCTCGCTCGCAGCCGGGCTGCTCTCCCCATCAAGGCCCCAGCACCACTGGCCACCGTGCTGCGCCTTCTGCCGGCCTCCCAGAGCCACCTACCTCGCCTGCGGCCAGACCACGTGCAGGACCGCCATGGTGCTGCCCTGCTGCTGCACGGGAGAGCCAGAGGCCTCAGTCCCCTGCCCAGGTTCCAGGCACACCAGGTGGCCTCCCTTTTTGCAGATGCTCCAGGGGAGCTCCAGAGCTTCCAACACATCGGGCTGGCTCAGGACTGCACGTGCTCTGAGGCATCAGGGCCAAGGGCCCATGGTCCTGGGATCCCCTCCGGTCCTCCTCCTTGCAGCAGAAAAATTGTTTTGGATCCCTCTCCTCCCCTCCTGCAAGGCCCCCTCTTACCCCACACACCCAGAGCTGCCAGTGCTGCCCAGGGGCTAACAGCCGGCCCAGCCCCACGGGCCCTTTATCCCACAACGCCCACACCATTATCGCTTGTCCCGACGAGGACCTGACCTTGGCCAATGGGGAGGGAAGGCTCTGCTTTTCCCCGTGCTGGCACTAGAGCCCCAGCAGCCTGATCCCTAGAAAGAGGAGCTGACAGTCACCAAGACACACCCCACCACCACCACGAGCAAACCCACCCCAACACACACACACAGAGATACACACAGGTGCACGTGCACAGACACACACGGACACACACACCACACCTGGGCACACACACACGGACACACAAAGACACAGACACAGATAGCTTGAAGTAAGGGAGGAGACTACCCCTCATATTGTCTTATGCCCAATTTCTGCCTCCAAAGAAAGAAGAAGTAAAATCTAAAAGGCAGAAATGAAATCCACAGCCAGACAGCCCTGCGCCACACCCTGGGCCTGGTAGTTAAAGATCGACCCCTGACCTACTCTGTTATGTTATCTATAGATTACAGACATCGTATAGAAAAGCACTGTGAAAATCCCTGTCCTGTTTTGTTCTGATATAATTACCGGTGCATGCAGCCACCAGTCACATACCCTCTGCTTCCTCAATCCATCAGGACCTTCTCACGCGGACCCCCTTAGAGTTGTAAGCTCTTAAGAGGGACAGGAATTGCTCACTCAGAGAGCTCGGTTTTTGGAGATGTGAGAGTGCCGATGCTCCCAGCTGAATAAAGCCCTTCCTTCTACAACTCGGTGTCTGAAGGGTTTTGTCTGCGGCTCCTCCTGCTACAGGAGAGCAAGGGAGACAGGAATGGAGAAATAGAACCAGAGGGAGAGCGAGAGAGACAGCGATACAGAGACAGAGAAGGGGGGAGGAGAGAGAGGGGGAGGGAAAGAGAGCCCGACAGTAGAGCGCCAGGTGGAGGGGGAAGTAGAGAAAGGGAGAGGGTGAGGGAGTTGTAGAGGGAGAGGGACAGAGTCATGGAAAGGGAGTCTCTACTCAGGTAGACAGAGCACCTTTGAGCAGGCCGGGGTGGGGTGGAAGGTGCTTGGGCTGGGCTAGAACAGGGGGTCAGGGCCCCCCACGTGGGAAAACCAAAGGAGCCCTGAGACGTGTTTTCTTTTTTCCTTGGATTGGTTGGTTGCTTCAGGGGAGCGTTTCATAGGGTTCTTCCTTTGTTTGTTTCTTTCTATCTCCTTGGTGCAGTGGGCCCCGAGATTTGTAGAGTGTGCTCATCCCTCTGGCTGGAGCCGTGGCGCCAAGCATGTCCACGCAGTGAGGCCTGGGTCTCTCTCCTGTCCTCAGGACTGGAGTTTACACGAAGTCGGTGGCCTTGGGAAACCAGGTGCACAGACACGGATTTCCTCGTGGCTGGCGAAGACAATGTCCTTCCCCTGGGGAAAGCAGCCCACGGGTTCTGGAGCGGAGGTCTTGGCTGGGGTCTGTGGGACCCGCTGCCCCTGCCCGCCCCTTCCCCCGGCTTGGACGATTGCAGCGGCGCTAGATGAATGAATAGAATTTCCTGGGAGTCCAGGAAGCCTGAAGACACCTGCGACCTCAGGAACGCGCGCCTGCGCCCTCGGGGTCGGTCCCGTCCCGCCCGGGTTGTAGCCAGGCTCCTGGTGGGCTGCTGCGAGTCGGAAGAGGTGGGATGCTGCTGCCCGGCTGTGCTGCAGTCGCGGATCTTCAGGAGGAGGTCCCGGGCTTCAGCTGGGACGCGTGGGCTGTCAAGGGGGAGCAGAGGCAGGGCGGGGGCGGGGTTGTGAAGCACTGAGACTAGAGGGGGAAAGAGGGAGGGAGCGGGAAGCCAAAAGCCCAAGGTACCTGCTATTACCAGGCGGAATCCCATCCAAGTACTAACCAGGCCCGACTCTGCTTAGCTTCAACAGATCAGAGGCAAGCGGGTGCGTTCAGGGTGGTGTGGCCTAGACGCTAGCAGCGGCGCCTGGCTGCCCCAAGAGCCCGTCCCAGCCATGCCCGAACGACTCCAGGCGTCACCGCCATCCCGGGGCAGCGGGTCTCGGATCCGGGACCCCCAGAGCCGCTCGCCTCTGCCCCAGGGCAGCTGTCTCCCTCTACACCCGAGTACCGCCGGCCTCCTGGCGAGTCCCGCCGTCACCGGCGGCCAGACCTGGCGCAGGACCAACGTGGCGCCGCCGTGCTGTTGCTGGCGGGCGCCAGAGGCCTCAGTCCCCTGCCCAGGATTCCGGCTCTCGGGGCGGCCTCCTTTCCGCCCACGCTCCAGTTCTTCCTCCAGCTCCCCAGCTCCGGAGCTTCCACCACATCTGCCGGCTCAGGACGGGTCGCGCTCATCCCTTAACTTAACTTTTTGTTGTTTCTGTTTATATTTTATTGTGCTGTGTCTTGAAATGTTGTAGTTATTACTTTTGGATATTATTTAGTATTCCGACTTTGAATAAGAGTAGTTTGCACACCACACAGCTATAGTGTTATAATATTCTGTTTTGTTGTGTATCCTATTAGCAGTGAGGATTTTTTTTTTTATCTTTAGGTGATCATTTATTGCTCGTTAATGTTCTTTTCTTCCTGATTGAAGTACTTCCTTTAGCATTCCTTTAGGACAGGTGTGGTATTCATAAAATACTTCAGCTTTTGTTTGTCTGAAAAAGTTAGTATTTCTTCTTTTTATTTGAAGAATATTTTCACTGTATATTCTATTCTAAGGTAAAAGTTTTTTTTTCCTTTAGTACTTTAAATATTTATTGCTTCTCTCTCCTGACCAGTAGAGTTTCCACCGTAAAGTCTGCTGCCAGACGTGTTGGAGCTCCCCAGTATGTCATTTGTTTCTTTTCTCTTTCTTCCTTTAGAACTTTTCTTTATCTTTGACTTTTGGAAGATCTATTGAATGCTTTGAAGTAGTCTTTTTTGGGTTAAATCTGCTTAATGTTCTATAACATTTTTGTAGTTGGATATTGTTATCTTTCTCTAGGTTTGGAAAGTTCTCTGTGATTATCCCTCTGAATAAATTTTTCTACCCCTGCCTCTTTCTCTACATCTTCTTTAAAGCCAATAACTCTTAGATCTGTCTTTGTGAGGCTCTTTTCTAGATCCTCCCCTGCCTCTTTCCCTACATCTTCTTTAAAACAAATAACTCTTAGATCTGTCTTTGTGAGGCTATATTCTGGATCCTGTTGGCATGACTTGTTGTTTTTATTCTTTCTCTTTTGTCTCTTCTATGTATTTTCAAAGAGCCGTCTTCAAGCTCACTATTTCTTCTGCTTGATCCATTCTGCTATTACATGGCTCTAATGCATTCTTCAACATGCCAATTGCATTTTTCAGCTCAGAATTTCTGCTTAATTTGCTGTAACTATTTCAATCTCTTTGTTGAGTTTAGCTGATAAAATTTGGAATTTCTTTACTTTGTTATCTTAAATTTCTTTCAGTTTTTTTTTTAAAAAAATACAGCTATTTTGAATTCTCTGTCTGAAACGTCACATATCACTTTTTCTCCAGGATTTGTCCACAGTGCCTTATTTAGTTCACTTGGTGAGGTCATGTTTTCCTGGATGGTGTTGATGCTAGTAGATGTTCTTCAGTGTCAGGACATTAAAATCTTGGGCATGCAGCACCATATGAGAGGTTTAAAAAATAAAATTTAAAGAGAGAAAAGGTGAGTATTTATTGTAGTCTTCAATGTCGGGTTTATTTGTAGCTGTCTTTCATGGGAAGGTTTTTCACATATTTGAAAAGAGTTGGGTGTTGTGATCTAAGCCATATCTGCTTTATGGGGCACCTTATACCGAATAATGCTGTACTTCTTCCAGACTCAGAGAAGCACCACCTTGACAGCCTTCAACAAGATCCAGGATAATTTTCTGGATTACTAGCCAGAGACTCTTTTTCCCTACCCTTATTTTCTCTCAAAGATACAGAGTATTTCTCTCTGTTCTAAGCCACCTAAAGCTGGGAGAAGAAAGACACAAGCACCCGTGGCCACCACCACTATGACTGCCCTGGATCAGACCTAAAGCTAGCACAGCATGGGTCTTGCTCAAATCCTGCTGCGTGCACTCTCTGACAACTGACTATGTTCACTCAAGGCCTTTGGTCTCTACAATTATCAGGTGGCAAAGCCAGCCAAGCCTGTGTTCTTTCCTTTAGGGCAGTGAGATCCCTCAGTCCCTGGCTGGGTCCAGAAGTGCCATTCAGAAGTCAGGGCTTTGGCCACTTTTTAATAGGGTTTTTTGTTTTTCTCTCGTAAATTTAAATTCCTTATATTGAATATTAGATCTTTGTCAGATACATAGTTTGTAAATATTTTTTCCTCATTCTATAGGTTGTCTGTTCACTCTATTGATAATTTCTTTTGCTGAGCACAAGCTTTTAAGTTTAATTAGATCCCACTTGTCAATAGTTGTATTTGTTGTTTTTGGTGTCTTTATCATGAAATCTTTGTCTCTTTCTATGTCCAGGATGGTATTGTCTAGGTTGTCTTCCAGGGCTTTTATAGTTTTGGGTTTTACATTTAAGTATTTAATCCATCTTGAGTTGATTTTGGTGTATGGTATAAGGAAGAAGTCCAACTTCAATCAGCATATGGCTAGCCAGTTATCCCAGCACCATTTATTGAATAGGGAATCTTTTCCCCTTTGCTTGTTTTTGCCAGCTTTGTCAAAGCTTAGATAGTTGTAGGTATGTGGTCTTACCTCCAACCTCTCTATTCTGTTCCTCTGGTGTATGTGTCTGTTTTTGTACTACTACCATGCTGTTTTGGTTACTATAGTGCTGTAGTATATTTTGAAGTCAGGTAATATGATGCCTCAAGCTTTGTTCTTTTTGCTTAGGATTGCCTTGGCTACTTAGGTTCTTTCTTGGTTCTATATGAATTTTTAAATAGCTTTTTTCTACTTCTGTGAAGCATGTCATTGGTAGTTTAATAGGAATAGCTTTGGGCAGTACACCATTTAAATGATATTAATTCTTTCTCTGCATTAACATGGAATGATTTTTCATTTATTTGTGTCTTCTCTGACTTCTCTGAGCAGTGTTTTGTAATTTTCATTGTAGAGATTTTTCACCACCCTTGTTAGCTGTATTCGTATGTACTTTATTCTTTTCATGGAATTTGTGAATAAAATTGCCTCTCTGATTTGGTTCTTAGCTTGGCTCTTCTTGGTGTATAGGAATGCTAGCAAGTTTTGTATATTGATTTTGTGTCCTGAAACTTTGTGAAAGTTGTTTATCAGCTTAAGGAGTTTTTGGGTCACAACTATAGGGTTTAGATGGAGAATTATGTTGTCTGCAAACAGAGGTAGTTGGACTTCTCTTTCTATTTAGATACCCTTTATTTCTTTCTCTTGTCTGATTGCTCCAGAAAGGACTTCTAATACTATGTTGAATAGCAGTGGTGAGAGAGGGCATCCTTGTCTTGTGCGGGTTTCAAGGAGGATGCTTCCACATTTTGCCCATTTAGTATAATGTTGGCTGTGAGTTTGTCATAGGTGGCCTTTATTATTTTGAGATATGTTCCTTTGATACCTCATTTATTGAGAATTTTTAACATGAAGTTTTGTTGAATTTTACTGAAAGCTTTTTCTGCATCCGTTGAGACAATCACGTGGTTCTTATCTTTAGTTTTATTTATGTTATGAATCACATTTTATTGATTTGCTCATGGTGGACCAACCTTCCATTCCAGGGAAGAAGCTTACTTCACTATGGTGAATTAGCCTTTTGATATGTTGCTAGATTCAGTTTGCAAGTATTTTGTTGTGGGTTATTGAATGGATATTCAGGAAGGATACTGGCCTGAAGTTTTCTTTTTTTGTTGTGTCACTGCCAGGCTTTGGTATCAGGATGATTCTGGCCTCATAGAACAAGTTGGGGAAGACCCCCTCCTCCTCTATTTCTTGAAATAGTATCAGTAGGACTGGTTCTGGCTCTCCTTTGTACATCTGTTAAAATTTGTTAATCTACCAGGTCCTGGGCTTTTTCGGGGGGTTGGTAGGCTATTTATTACAGATTCAATTTTTGGAGCTCATAATTGGTCTATTCAGAGACTGAATTTCTTCCTGGTTCAGTCTTGAGGAGTATATGTGTCCAGGAATTTATTAATCTCTTCTAGGGTTTCTAGTTTGTGTGTATAGAGGTGCTCGTAGTAGTTGCTGGTTGTTATTTTTATTTCCCTGGGGTCAGTGGTAACATTCCCTTCATCATTTCTAATTTTGTTTATTTGAATCTTCTCTCTTTTCTTCTTTATTAGTCTAGCTAGTGCCCTATCTATCTTATTAATTTTTTCAAAAAACCTTGATTAAGTGATCTCTTGAACAGTTTTTCATGTCTCAATTTCTTTCAATTCAGCTCTGGTTTTAGTTATTTCTTGTCTTCTATAAGCTTTGTGGTTGAGTTCTTCTTGTTTCTCTAATTCTTTCAGTTGTGGTGTTAGGTTGTTAATTTGAGATATTTCTAATTTTTTGATATGGGCATTACTTCTTATGCCCCACTCTAACTTTTGTCCTTCTAGAAAACTCAGAACTATGCCTTCTAAACCAATTGAAACTTTCTCAGTGAATCAACCTGTTCTTCCTGAGGCAAAGTTAGCAATTTTCCGTTACACATGGTTCTTTCTCTGTAAGAATATCTAATGCAACAATGCAAGTGTTTCTTTCCCTCCTGGTAATGTGGGGAACTCCTTTTAGCTAAGACCAAGACTTAAAACCTTGTTCTTTCAACATTAATGAAGATCTATTTAGAAAGCCTCCATTTTTACAGAAAAGATATATAAACACCAATGAAAATGAATATGAAATTATATGACACAATTACATTGTGGAAAGACTGAATAAATAAGTGAACTAAGCTCTAAGAAAAAATATGATGATATAAAAAGATATAGAAGTAAAAACCTGGGCTGGTATAGCATAATTAATGTATCAGTAAAGTATGTACAGTGTAGAAGTGGCAGAAAGACAGCATAGAGAGTAAGACCTGACCAAAAGCTTTAAGAAAAGTTCTATACCCTTAAACGAGATTAAAGTGGACTCAGGAAAACATGGGACACATGAGGGAAAGGACACATGCTCCAGATGGGCCAAAGCTCAGAGCATCTCTACCTTCTCCAGGAGGAAAGGGGAGGCAAAGCAGCAGGCAGAAGACAGCACAGCCAGGTCAGCACAGGGCGAAGCCAGGTGGGCTCCATCATACAGGTAGTGAGGAGCCACTGCCAGGTGGGCTTTATTCATTAGTTGGTTTTGTTTCCTTTAGTAACAAAGAGACATGATCAAAGTTGACCTTTGTAAGTGTTGCTGCAGCTGAACAAAAAGATGGATAAAACCAGTGTTTTAAAAATTATGTTGTATACAGCACTAGCCTCAGTGAGTTATTAGTAGAACACACAGGTACACACATGCACACACATTCACACTGAGCCCAGATTATTCTGGCAAATTCTGGGTTAAGCTAACTAAAAGAAACATCTTTAGTTCTGGACTTCTCAGAACCTGGAATGCGGCTATATGACTCATAAAACAGCAAGGTTAAGACAGAGCATGTCATTTTTTCCAGAATTGTTGAAACATTTTCCTTCCCTTGGCATCAGTGTCACCTTCTTTCTCCTGGTTCTCCATCAACCTCTTTGGCTGCTCCTTCTTGATTTCCTTTTTCACGATCTGCTGCTGCTCAGCCATTCTCTTTTCATTCCCCATGGATTTCTCAAGTGTGTTTCTATTCCTGCATTTTAAACTTTCCTTGTTTTTCCTGACACTTCTCCTTGTCTGACCCTCCCCTGTTCTAAGGCAGGTGTTCCATCTGTGTGTGCTTTTGGCATCCTGGGATGCTCCCAGCATGTTCCCTGACACACTCCATCAGGTTTTCTCTGCAGACTCTGTGAGAGCAGCAGCCTTGTTTCCACCGATCCTTCAATGCTCAGCACATAACACAGAAGCTGACTCCATAACATTTAGTTGGCCAACTGAGACTAAATGTATGTTCCTCTAGATCTTAAAGAGTTACAAAAACATAGCACAATAGTCAAAACAATTCTCTTTAGTCAGGAGTTCTCTATATATGTACGACAGTTTGAAGTCATTATTAAAGCAAAGTGAAAGAGAAACTGTCACAGAATTCCCTAAGATAAATTATTTTGCTTTAATCTTCAATTCATCATGTGAGATAATCAAGACCAAGTGTTATTGTAAATATTTCTTACAACACAATTAACTGATTTTTATTGTTTGAAATAACCACAAAATAAATCAGTCAATTAAAAATTGCATAAATAATCATTTCAAATAAAATTCTGCCTAAATTTTACTCATATGTTCAAATGATAATGAGCTCATAGGTGTTTCCAATACCTCAGTCAAAACATTGTACTGATTCCAGCTGTGGGAATAGTATCTGCAAGTTATTTTACAGATGGGGAAAAGGTACTTATGTGACATTGGCCTTTGCACTACTATGCACTTTTGGGTCAGGAAAAAGCTGTTCCCTTAAAATCCTAAAATCTCTTCTCTCAGGTCTGAATGTGGATGGGAAACAAAGTTTTACAAATTTTAGCCACAGATGTTTTATTCCTTGCTTAAAGCAGTGACTAGATAAAGGCCCCTTGAAGAGCCTCCAATGATTCTTTAGAAGCGTGTGCCTGCGAATATCTTCCTGAAACACTCCCTTGTCTCTGCCCAAAATCACCTTAGGTAGGAAAATCAAAACTCAGCAGTCTGAGGAGATCCAAGGGGATCATTGAGCTCTGAGTCTTATGAGAGAAGAGAGAGAGTTCTAAGACTGTTTGTGTATAAATGTATGGGTTCCAAGTGCAATTTTGCTGTAAGCATGGATGGCATAGTGGTGAACTCAGGGCTTTTAGGTATCCATCACCAGAATAATGCACATTGTACCCATTAAGTAATTTCTCACTGTTCACCCCTTCCATCCCCTCACCCTCCTGAGTCTCCATTATTCCACTCTCTACATCAATATCTACACATCTTTTAGCACCTGCTAATGAGTGATAAAATATGATGTTTACTCTGTGTCTGGCTTGCCTCACTTACAAAAATGGCCTCCAGTTTCATCCATGTGTCTGCAAAAAAGTTATGATTCTATTGTTTTTTATGCCTGAGTAGTATTTCATTGTGTATATTTTCTACATTTTCTTTCTCCAATCATTTGTTGATGGACATTTAGGTTGATTTTATATCTGTGCTACTGTGAATAGTATTGCAACAAATACACAAGTATAGTTATCTTTCTGATAGATTGATTTCTTTTCCTTTGCATAAATACTCAGTGGTGGGATTGCTGAATCAGACAGAGCCAATGGATGATCAGTAATGGTGGCCAATCATCAGCTAGAAACAAAGAACTTAGCAGGGCTTGAAAACACCAAAACTCTGAGACCACTGACCTTCAAAAACTTCAACAGCCCTGAGTGAAAAGTCCAAACACATTTATCTACCATTCAAAGATGCTTTATTGTCTGTCCTCTGTGCATCTCAGTAGCCTCTTTTTACCACACTGTCTCTATACTGCATGAGCCATTTATATGAAACTATCTGACTCTCCATGGCATCTTATACCATGTATTCAACCATGTATCCCTAGTACCTAGCACAGTCTTGGTATATAGTTTGCTACTAAACTTTTGCAGAATGAAGGAATTATCTTGTATCGAGGTTCCAAGTTTTAAGGTGATTCTTCACTAAGAAAAAGTATTACAGTTCACAAATAATCTACTTCCCTTTTTACAGATGGGATCAATTTTAATCTTATCTCCTAATAACATTACTTTCATTTATTCTGATCTAAATATTCTGTCCTAAGAGAGCAATAAGAAAGAGAGTTGAAGCTGGAGTTTGAAGAATTGTACATGGTTCTATGATACCTTACCTTGTTTTAACCTGAGTGACTCTCCCCTAGCAGAGAGAGAGCCAGACAGACTCTATTTTAGTTTCTTCACGTGCAACCCCCTTTACCTCCCTCCCTTAAGGGCATAACTAGTGTAAACTGACTCAAAGCACATCCAGGAATGCACATACTGATAAGATATTGAGGCAAGCTGCACCAGCAGCTCCTAGGGACGTGCTTGGTGAATGTCACCCAAAACCCCTGCATTTCTCTCTTTGTGATAGTTTAAGTCCCTGCACCTGGAACTGTTTCTTTGTTGTGTAACTGCTTTTGTAACCAATTAATTTTTTAACTATTTGCCAGCTCTGCTTCAGTAAAAATTGTTTCAGTTAAACTCCCCCCTCCCCTATTTAGACCACGGAATAAAAACAAAATCAGCCCCTTCCTCGGGGCCAAGAGAATTTTCAGCGTTAGCTGCCTCTCCGTCGCTGGCTAATAAAGGATTCCTTAATTTGTCTCAAAGTGTGGCGTTCCTCTATAACTCGCTTGGTTACAACAGTCCACACTGTGGCCTGAGGTGCATCGCCCACCTGAGCTTCATCTGTTATCTATGTCAGGGAAGATAAGCAGGGTGAGAGTGGCCTCATCAGAAGACCCAAGATCTCTGGCTTCCCCATCTGGCAAGTGCACCTCTGTGAACAAAGACTTCAGAGCCAGATGACAAGAATGGCCCAAGCAGTCCACCAGGGAAACTTGGGCCCAGTGTACATCAATGCAGAGCGTCAAGCATGGCATAACAGGTGGACAGTTGCCTATTCCTGTTCAGAGATGACTGCATCCCACACACTGTAAAATGAAGAAATGCAGAGAAGCAGATGTAACTGAAGCAGACAGCAGGAACAACAAGGAAGGACAACCACGACCTAGGAGGGCACCATGCCAGAGATGCCTGGACCCTATGCTAGGCTCAGTGCCTGTTATACTCTTGGGATCCAGCGCTTTCCCTCTCCATCACAATGCATACTTGGCATTATTTGTTGTTTAAAATATTTTCCTTAGTTTTCACCTTTCCTAGGAGACACAGGCAGACCCTGTGACACTACAGCTTCTGGCACACAGTAGGTGCATCACAAACATCTGTTGAGTTCACACACTCTTGCCTTCTCAAACCTTTTTGTCAAGTCTTCAGTGAAAAGGAATTGCTGATTGAGCAAGAATTAAACTTCTAGAGACTTCTGGATCCACTGAAGTTTAAGACAAGGTGAGATTTGTTTACTGCCATATTCCTAGCTCATAGCATACTGTAGTCACTTAAAAAATGTTTGTTGAATCAGTGACTGAATTGATTCATACGTCATACTTAGCTATATATTTTCTGAGTAAAATTGATGAATTTAATGGTTTAATTCTAGTATAATTTTACTTTCCTTATTCAACGAACCTGACAATTCAACTTGGTGCCAAGCACACGGCTGCTGAAGTAAAGGAGGTATAAGATACAATTTCTGTCTACAAGAAAGCCACAATCTAAAAAGTAGAAACATATGAACAAATTATAATAATAAATAGGCTACATTCAAAATCAGAGGGGTCTGTTTCTATTTTAAACAGCTCTAGTCAGGAAGTGTTAGAAAGTTCTAAACAGGAAATGTTCCAACACACCATCCAAGCATGAAGCAGGAGACACCTATAATTGAGCTTGCTGCCACCAACCCCAACAGCAAGAATTCCAGTCCTGCTGCTGCAAAGTAAGTGTCACTCTGATTTTATTACTGCTGTGTAACCCAGTTTTAGACTCTCTGGTTCTCACTTAATGTTCTAAATAAGTATTAAAGAGAAAATATTATTATGGTTTGAGCCCATCCACGGCAGACATCATAACATCATACTAGTTATAAGGCCTATCATTTAAAAGGAAAATTGTTAGCTTAACTTATTTATCCAAATATCAGTATTAGATAAACATCAGACTTTGTCATCAGACTTTGGATTTATGGGTTAAATAGCATACAAATATGATTAGAGCCTTAAAGTTTACACTTCTCTGGTTTGCTCAAATTTTTTTCAAAATAGCATATGCCTTTCTAAAAAATTGTTAGTATATTTTTAAAAATGAACATAAAAATATATATTTTCTCAAAACAAAATACAGCTCCCATTGGCAAATGATGATGTTGAAATACAACAGACAACTTCTCTTGGGAACCATTTAATCAGTGCTCACTTTTGCACTCTTTCCAGAAATGTCAATGGCTTTAAAATGTAGAAGTATATTATACAACTAAACTTACACTTATTCAGTATTGTGCAATATTTAGTACTTGTTCTAGCTATCTCTTGCTCAATAGTAAGCCATTCCAAAACTTAAGGAATTATTTATTGTTTAATTGTTTCTTGTTATTATTTGTTTAGTGATTTTAAATAATGCTGTTTCTCGTGGTTTTGTGGGTTGATGGGCACTACAAAAGTTCTCTTTTGGAGTCTTTCTTGCGGTTGCAGTTGGTTGGCTGCTGCTGAACTCACCTGAAAGCTCAACTAGGCTAAAGAGCCTAGACAGGTCACTCATATGGCTGGCAGTGCATATTGGCTGCTGAGTGTGATGCCTATCTGACCTCTCTATGTTATCTGGAGTGCTCACAACGTGGTAGTTGGTCCCAAGACACACAGGCAAATACTACAAAGCTTCTTAGGACCTAGCCTTGGAGGTCCTAGAATACAACTTCTGCTCCATCCTATTGATAAAGCAAGTCAGTGTGACCAGCACAGATTCAAGAAATGGGAGATTTGACTCTGTCAATGTAAAGAGCAGCATGTGCATGTAAGGAGGAAAGAAATTGAGGGCATCATCTTGAAGGCTATCATATCACACCATTATTCCAACTAATGAAAATTATGCATTAGATGGGCAGTCTTAGCTACTCATCTCTCCCCCAGAAACCCAAGCTAAGCACGGATATATTGAAGAGAATGTCAGCACCATTAAACAAACTCTAGAAAAATAACATGTGATGACTGAGGTTAATTCAGTCTGTCAATTACATCAATATAATTCCCTTCTTTTAACCCTAAATATGGTGAAGAAGAATTGAATTCTACAAAAGTCTTTCATCCGTTTTCCTATGGAATAATTAACAAACCCAATAAATGTATAAATAGTATGAAGCCCAATTTATTTTAGATTTTTACCTCTTAATTTCAAAGCTTATAGAAATCCAGAGAACTAATCATCATAATCCATAGTGCCTGGACCAGAAGTCTTTGTTCTAAGAGTATCTTCTGACATGCTAAAAATGTATTACTAACTAGGAAATTTAAAACTTTTTGGTTAGTGATTTTAAGAGAGGTGACTAACTCATCACCACAATTCACACAGATTAAGAATGGAGATTACTCTGCTGAGTGGATTCATAGTGATCAGAAAAAAAATCACAAAAGAGGAAAAGAGATAGAGAAGGGGAAACATACTGTCAATCCCTTCAATTAAAGTGATTTTTCAAATGGTTTGATCTTATATTTGCAAAGGAAATGCAGCTTATTGTGATAGAATAAGAATACCACTTCTGTATTTTTTTTTTTTTTTTTTTTTTTTTTTTGTTGAGACGGAGTCTCACTCTGTCATGCAGGCTGGAGTGCAGTGGTGCGATCTTGGCTCACTGCAAGCTCTGCCTCCCAGGTTCATGCCATTCTCCTGCCTCTGCCTCCGGAATAGCTGGGACTACAGGCGCCCGCCGCCACACCCGGCTAATTTTTTTGTATTTTTTGTAGATACAGGGTTTCACCGTGTTAGCCAGCATGGTCTCGATCTCCTGACCTTGTGATCCGCCCACCCCAGCCTCCCAAATTGCTGGGATTATGGGCGTGAGCCACTGTGCCTGGCTCGTCTTCTTTTGAGAAATGTCTCCTTATGTCCCTTGTCAATGTTTTAATGGGGTTGTTTTCTTAATGTTCAACATCACTAATCATCAGAGAAATGCAAATCAATGTGAGATACCATCTGATATTAGTCAGAATGGCTACTATTAAAAAGTAAAAAAAAGACATTCTGTTTAGACTTCAGGGAAAATGAAATGTTTATACACTGTTGGTGAGAATGTAAATTAGTTCAGCCACTGTGAAAAGCAGTCTGGAGATTTTTCAAAGAATTTAAAACAGAAGTACCATTCAACCAGCAATTCCATTACTGAGTATATATCCAAAAGAAAATTTAAAATTCTACAAAAAGAAACCCCACATCCACTTGTATATGCATCATTTTGCTATTCACAATAGGGAAGGCATGGAATTAACTTATCTGTGAATCAATAAATTGGTTAGAAATATGTGTCACATATACACCATAAAATTCTATGCACACATTAAAAAGAATACAATTGTGTCCTGTGCAGCAACATGCATACTTCTGGAGGCCATTATCCTAGGGAAATTAATACAGGAACAGAAAACCAAATACCACATGTTCTTGCCTATAAGTAGGATCTAAACATGGGGTACTCATGAATACAAAGACACCAACAATAGACACTGAAAACTGCTAGATGAAGAAGGGAAGGAGGAGGGCAGGGGGTGAGAAACTATGAGTGTTATGCTTACTGCGTAGGTGATGGGATCAGTAATATCCCACATTGCTCAGCATCACACAATATATCCATGTAACAAACCTGCAAATATACTCCCTGAATCTAAAAAATTTAAGGCAGAGACAGAATAAGAGGGCAGAATAGAGGCCTACATTCCCATCCACCACACAAAAACACCAAATTTTCACAACTCACTACATTCACGAATCAATGTCAAAGGGACCAAAAATTGGGTGAGCAATCCCAGTACCTGGTATTAACTTCAAATCACTGAAACAGACATTGGAGAAGACAAACAAATAAGAGACAGTCTAGAAGCACGGATGCTACCTCTTTTTCAACCACCAGTAGTGACTACATGGTGCCGAGATACTATGTTTGGGAGAGGGAGAGCATAGTTCGTGAGGCTTTGCAAAAAATTCAGTACTACCCCCTCACAGTGAAAAGCAGAACCAGGCTGTACTCAGCTGACATTTGCCAATGGTGGGAGCACTTGTATTGGCCTTAGAAAGAGGAAAACCTCCCATCCTAGTGTTGGGAGCTTGAGTTTTTACAAGTCTTGCCATCATGAGTTGAAGTGCTATTGGACTCTAGGAGAACTTAAGGGGCAGTCTAGGCCACAAGGACTTCAATTATTAGGCAAGTCATATTCCGAGCTGGGCTCAGAGCCAGTGGAATGTGGAGGGTGGGGAAAATGGGGTCTACTGAGACAGCAGCCAGAGCTAAGGGAGTGCTCACAACACCAATCCTCCACTCCCACCTAGCAGCAGCCACACAACACAGAGAAACCAGTGAATTTGGGAGAGGGAGGGCACAGTGACTGGAGGACATTACATTAAACTCAGTGCTGCCATGTCAGTAAAGACCTGGCAGAATTCATCACCTGCTGACTAAAGAACCCCTGTACCCAGAATAAAAAACAGTGACAACCAGGTAATACACCATGGGCATTGGGCTCTGAGAAGCGCTAACTTCAGGTGTGACCCAGTACATTTCCAGCTGTGGTAGCTATGGTGAAAGACTTCTGTTTGAGAAAAGCAGGGGGGAAAGTAAAGGGACCTCTGCATTGCACATGATATGCCAGCTCAACCACAGTGGGGTAGAGCACCAAGCAGATTCTTAGAGTCCCTGAGTCCAGGCCTAGGGTCTTCTTGGTCAACATCTCTGCCCTTGCCCTGGGCCAAAGGTTGAGTCTCAGGCATTGCAGAATTTATCACAAGCTAATTAAAGAGTCCTTGTGCTTTAATTGAGAAAGTGATGATGATTTGGTGGAAATCCCCCATGAGCCAGTAGTGTTGGCAGTCATAAAAGAGGCTCTTCTGCCTGCAGACCGGGGAAGAAAGAGTAGAAAATACTTTGTCTTATTCCCAAAGTGCCAGGTTTGCTACAGTAAAATAGAAGAGAAGGTAAATTTTGAAGATTCTATGCTTTAATCTCTGGCTCCCAAGTAGCATCTGTGGACCCAATCATGGCTAGGTGAAATTGCCACCCTATAGGCAGAGACACAAACCTGGCTGGCTTTGCCACCTATTAATCACAGAGTCCTAGGGCTTTGAATAAACTTATATGGTAGCCAAGTAGTGGTTGCAGTGGGCCTTGCATGAGACCAAGTTCTGTGCCTACTTCAGGTGTGAACCAGCACAGTCTCAGTGGTGGTGGCCACAGGAGTGCTTATGTTACCCCAGCCCCAGCTTCACATGTCTCAGCACAGAAAGAGAGACTGATGATTTGAGAGACAGTAAGGGAAGAGAACAAGAGTCTCTACTTGATAAATCAAGAGAATTTTTCTTGATGTTAATCCAAGGCTACCAAGGCAGTACCTCTATGTGTTTGCATAAACTACCGTGCTATTGGGTTTGGGACCCAAGTTTCTTTGAATACCTGGAAAGTGTTCCCAAAGATAATGGGCACTAACAAACCCAGGCTGTGAAAACTACAATAAAGACTGAACTCTTCAATGCCCAGATACAGATGAACATCTACAAGTATCAAGGCCATCCAGGAAAACATGACCTCACCAAACAAGCTAAATAAAGCATCAGGGACAAATCCTGGAAAAACAGAGATATGTGACTTTTCATACAGGAAATCCAAAATAGCTGGTTGAGGTAATTCAAAGAAATGTACAATATAACACAGAGAAGGAATTCAAAATTCTATCAGATAAATTTAACAATGAGATTGAAATAAAAAGAATAAAGCAGAAATTCTGAAGTTAAAATGCTATTGTCATACTGAAGAATGGATCAGAATTACTTAAAAGAATTGAACAAGGAGAAGATAGATTTAGTGAACTTGAAGTCAGACTATTTAAAAATACAAAGTCAGAGGAGACAAAAAAGAATAAAAAATAAAGCACGTCTGTAGAATTTAAAAAATAGCCTCAAAATAGCAAATCTAAGAGTTATTGGCCTTAAAGAGGAGGTAGAAAAAGAGATGAGTTGAACATTTATTTAAATAAATAATATTAAACAATTCCTCAACATTTGATATCAATATTCGAGTAACAGAAAGTTACAGAACATAAAGCAGATTTAACCTAAAGAAGCCACCTGAAGTCACGTAACTGAACTCCCAAAGATTAAGGATTAAGAAATGATTCTAAAAGCATCGAGAGAAGAGAAAGAAATAACATTCAGTGGAACTCCAATACATCTGACAGCAGACTTTTCAGGGGAAAATTTACAGGCTGGGAGACTGGCATGACGTATTAAAAAAGCTAAAGAAAAAAAGACTTTTACTTTAGAATAATGTATCTGACAAAAACGTCCTTTAATTTGACGGAAAAATAAGAACTTTTCCCGACAGAAAAAAAAAAAAAAAACAGGGATTTCATTAACACCAGACCTGTCCTACAAGAAATGCTAAAGGGATATCTTAACCTAAAAGAAAAAAAGTGAGCAAGAAGAAATCATCTGAAGGTACAGAACTCACTAGCAATAGCACATGGAAAAACACTGAATATTATAACATGGTAATTATGGGGTGCAAAAATCTCAAATAGAAAGAGTAAACATATGAACTTTAAAGTACTTTTTTCCAATTCTGTGAAGAAAGACATTTGTAGCTTGATGGGGATGGCATTGAATCTATAAATTACCTTGGGCAGTATGGCCATTTTCACGATATTGATTCTTCCTACCCATGAGCATGGAATGTTCTTCCATTTGTTTGTATCCTCTTTTATTTCATTGAGCAGTGGTTTGTAACTCTCCCTGAAGAGGTCCTTCACATCCCTTGTAAGTTGGATTCCTAGGCATTTGATTCTCTCTGAAGCAATCGTGAATGGGAATTCACTCATGATTTGGCTCTCTGTTTGTCTGTTATTGGTGTATAAGAATGCTTCTGACTTTTTACATTGATTTTGTATCCTGAGCCTTGGCTGAAGTTGCGATTCAGCTTAAGGAGATTTTGGGCTGAGACAATGGGGCTTTCTAGATATACAATCGTGTCATCTGCAAACAGGGACAATTCGACTTCATCTTTTCCTAATTGAATACCCTTTATTTCCTTCTCCTGCCTGATTGCCCTGGCCAGAACTTCCAACACTATATTGAATAGGAGAGGTGAGAGAGGGCATCCCTATCTTCTGTCGGTTTTCAAAGAGAATGCTTGCAGTATTTGCCCATTCAGTATGACACTGGCTGTGGGTTTGTCATAGATAGCTCTTATTATTTTGAGAAACGTCCCATCAATACCTAATTTATTGAGAGTTTTTAGCATGAATGTTGTTGAATTTTGTCAAAGGCCTTTTCTGCATCTATTGAGATAATCACGTGGTTTTTGTCTTTGGTTCTGTTTATATGCTGGATTACATTTATTGATTTGCCTATGTTGAACCAGTTTGCATCCCAGGGATGAAGCCCACTTGATAATTGTGGATAAGCTTTTTGATGTGCTGCTGGATTCGGGTTGCCAGTATTTTGTTGAGGATTTTTGCATCAATGTTCATCAAGGATATTGGTCTAAAATTCTCTTTTTGTGTTGTGTCTCTGCCCGGCTTTGCTCTCAGGATGATGCTGGCCTCATAAAGTGAGTTAGGGAGGATTCCCTCTTTTTCTATTGATTGGAATAGTTTCAGAAGGAATGGTAATAACTCCTCCTTGTACCTCTGGTAGAATTCGGCTGTGAATCCATCTGGTCCTAGGCTTTTTTGATTCGTAAGCTATTGATTATTGTCTTAATTTCAGAGCCCGTTATTGGTCTATTCAGAGATTCAACTTCTTCCTTGTTTAGTCTTGGGAGGGTGCATGTGTTCAGGAATTTATCCATTTCTTCTAGATTTTCTGGTTTATTTGCATAAAGGTTTCTATAGTATTCACTGGTGGTAGTTTGTATTCCTGTGGGATCAGTGGTGATATCACCTTTATCATTTTTTATTGCATCTGTTTAAGACTTCTCTGTTTTTTTCTTTATGAGTCTGCTAGCAGTCTATCAATTTTGTTGATCTATTCAAAAAACCAGCTCCTGCATTCGTTGACTTTTTGAAGGGGTATTTGTATCTCTATTTCCTTCAGTTCTTCTCTAATTTTAGTTATTTCTTGCGTTCTATGAGCTTCTGAATGTGTTTGCTCTTGCTTCTCTAGTTCTCTTAATCGTGATGTTAGGGTGCCGTATTAGATCTTTCCTGCTTTCTCTTGTGGGCATTTAGTGCTATAAATTTCCCTCTACACACTGCTTTGAATGTGTCCCAAAGATTCTTGTATGTTGTGTCTTTGTTTTCTTTGGTTTCAAAGAACATCTTTATTTCTGCCTTCATTTCGTTATATACCCAGTAGTCATTCAGGAGCAGGTTGTTCAGTTTCCATGTAGTCGAGCAGTTTTGAGTGAGTTTCTTAATCCTGAGTTCTAGTTTGATTGTACTGTGGTCTGAGAGACAGTTTGTTATAATTTCTGCTCTTTTACATTTGCTGAAGAGTGCTTTACTTCCAACTATGTGGTCGACTTTGGAATAGGTGTAGTGAGGTGCTGAAAAGAATGTATATTCTGTTGATTTGGGCTGGAGAGTTCTGTAGATGTCTATTAGGTCCGCTTGGTGCAGAGCTGAGTTCAATTCCTGGATATCCTTGTTAACTTTCCTTCTCATTGATCTGTCTAATATTGACAGTGGGTGTTAAACCCCCCTATTATTATTGTGTGGGAGTCTAAGTCTCTTTGTAGGTCTCTAAGTACTTTCTTTATGAATCTGGGTGCTCCTGTATTGGGTGCATATATATTTAGGATAATTAGCTCTTTTTGTTGGATTGATCCTTTTACCATTATGTCATGGCCTTCATTGTCTCTTTTGATCTTCACTGGTTTAAAATCTGTTTTATCAGAGACTAGGATTGCAACCCCTGCCTTTCTTTGTTTTCCATTTGCTTGGTAGATCTTCCTCCATCCCTTTATTTTGAGCCTGTGTGTGTCTCTGCACATGAGATAGGTTTCCTGAACACAGCACACTGATTGTTCCTGACTCTTTATCCAATTTGACAATCTTTGACTTTTAATTGGAGCATTTAGCCCATTTACATTTGAGGTTGATATTGCTATGTGTGAAATTTATCCTGTCATTATGATATTAGCTGGTTATTTTGTTCATTGGTTGATGCAGTTTCTTCCTAGCATTGATGGTCTTTACAATTTGGTGTTTTTGCAGTGGCTGGTACAGGTTGTTCTTTTCCACTTTTAGTGTTTCCTTCAGGAGCTATTTTAGGGCAGGTCTGGTGGTGACAAAATCTCTCAGCATTTGCTTGTCTGTAAAGGATTTTATTTCTCCTTCACTTACGAAGTTTAGTTTGGCTGTATATGACATTCTGGGTTCAAAATTCTTTTCTTTGAGAATGTTGAATATTGGCCCCCACTCTTCTGGCTTGTAGAGTTTCTGCCAAGAGATCAGCTGTTACTCTGAAGGGCTTCCCTTTGTGGGTAATCTGACATTTCTCTCTGGCTGCCCTTAACATTTTTTCCACATTTCAACTTTGGTGAATCTGACAATTATGTGTCTTGGAGTTTCTCTTCTCGAGGAGTATCTTTCTGGCATTCTCTGTATTTCCTGAATGTGAATGTTGGCCTGCGTTCCTAGATTGGGGAAGTTCTCCTCGATAATATACACAGTGTGTGTTTCAACTTGGTTCTATTCTCCCCATCACTTTCAGATACACCAATCAGACGTAGATTTGGTCTTTTCACATAGTTCTATATTTCTTGGAGGTTTGCTCATTTCTTTTTATTCTTTTTTCTCTAAACTTCTCTTTTCACTTCATTTCATGCCTTTCATCTTCCATCACTGATACCGTTTCTTCCAGTTGATTGAATCATCTACTGAGGCTTGGGCATTCATCACGTGGTTCTCGTGCCATGGTTTTCAGCTCCATCAGGTCCTTTAAGGACTTCTCTGCATTGGTTATTCTACTTAGCCATTCATCTAATTTTTTTTCAAGCTTTTTAACTTCTTTGCCATGGGTTCAAAGTTTCTCCTTTAGCTTGAAGTCATTTGATCATCTGAAGCCTTCTTCTCTCAACTCATCAAAGTCATTCTCCGTCTGGATTTGTCCCATTGCTGGTGAGGAGATGCATTCCTTTGGAGGAAGAGAGGCATTCTCATTTTTAGAGTTTCCATTGTTTCTGCTCTGTTTTTTCCCCATCTTTGTGGTTTTATCTACCTTTGGTCTTTGATGATTTTGATGTACAGATGGATTTTTTGCATGGATGTCCTTTCTGTTTCTTAGTTTTCCTTCTAACAGTCAGGACCCTCAGCTGCAGGTCTGTTGGAGTTTGCTGAAGGTCCACTCCTCACCCTGTTTGCCTGGGTATCAGCAGCAGTGGCTGCAGAACAGCGGATATTGGTGAACCACAAATGCTGCTGCTTGATCATTCCTCTGGAAGTTTTGTCTCACAGGAGTACCCAGCCATGTTAGGTTTCAGTCCGCCCTTACTGGGTGTGCCTCCCAATTGGGCTACTCGGGGTTCAGGGACCCAGTTGAGGAGGCAGTCTGCCCGTTCTCAGATCTCCAGCTGCAGCTGGGAGAATCACTACTCTCTTCAAAGCTGTCAGACAAGGACATTTAAGTCTGCAGAGATTTCTGCTGCCTTTTGTTTGGCTATGTCCTACCCCCAGAGGTAGAGTCTACAGAGGCAGGCAGCCCTCCTTGACCTGAATTGGGCTCCACCGAGTTCGAGCTTCCCAGATGCTTTACCTACTCAAGCCTCAGCAATGGCAGGGGACCCTTCCCCAGCCTTGCTGCCACGTTGCAGTTTGATCTCAGACTGCTGTGCTAGCAATGAGTGAGGTTCTGTGGGCCTAGGACCCTCCAATCCAGGCATGAGATATAATCTCCTGGAGTGACTTTTGCTAAGACAATTGGAAAAGTGTAGTATTAGGATGGGAATGACCCAATTTTCCAGGTGCCATCTGTCACCACTTTCTTTGACTGGGAAAAGGAATTCCCTGACCCCTTGTGCTTCCCAGGTGAGGTGATGTCTCACCCTGCTTCTGCTCATGCTCGGTGCACTGCACCCACTGTGCTGCACCCTCGGTCTGACACTCTCCAGTGAGATGAACCCGGTACCTCATTGGGAAATGCAGAAATCACCCATCTTCTGTGTTGCTCATTCTGGGAGCTGTAGACTGGAGTTGCTGCTATCAGCCATCTTGGCTCCAACCTCCGTTTTGCTTGTTTCTTTGTTTATGCAATCAATGTTAAATTGTCCACAGTCTAAAATAATGTATTATGTTATTTTCAAGCCTCATGATAATTTCAAATCAAAGAGTGTACCACAGATGTACAAAAAGTAAAAAGCAAGAAATTAGATTATAATTCAAGATAAATCACCTTCACTAAAAGGAAGACAGGAAGAAAGGGAAGAAGGAAGAGAGGACAAAAATCAATGAGAAAAAAATAAAAAAATGGCAGGAGTAAGTTCTTATCACTGATAACATTGAATTTAAATGAACTAAATACACCAGTCAAAAGAAAAATAGTGGATGAATAGATAGAGAAGCAGGACAATAATCTGTGACCTACCAAAAAAAAACACACTTTATCTATAAAGATACATTTAGACTGAAAATAGAAGGATGAAAAAAGTTATTCCATGCCAATAGAGACCAAAAAGAGCAGAACTAGCCATACTTATACCAGACAAAAATAGATTTCAACAAAAGACTGTAGGAAGAAATTAAAAGGTCATTATATAATAATAAAGAGATCAATTCATCAAGAGGATATAATAATTGAAAATATATATGCACCCAACACTAAAGCACTTAGATAAATGAAGCAAATATTATAAGAGCTAAAGAAAGAGACCTCAATACAATATTGGCAGGACAATTCAACACCCCACTTTAGTCATTGGACAGACTTTCCAGACAGAAAATAAACAAAGAAACATCAGACTTAATCTGTACTATAGAACAAATGAACCTAATAGATATTTACAGAAAATTTCATCCAACAGCTGCATAATACACATTCTTCTCCTCTGCACATGGGTTATTTTCAAGGATAGACCATATGTTATGTAACAAGTATAAAAACATTCCAAAAAATTGAAGTAATATGAAGCATTTTCTTTGACTACAGGGGATAAAACTAGAAATAATTTAAAAAGGAATTTAAGAAACTATACAAACACATAGACATTAAACAATATGCTCCTGAATGATTAGTAGGCCGATAAAAAAGTTAAAAAGAAAATAGAAAAATTTCTTGAAACAAATGATAATGGAAACATAGCATAGAAAAAGCTATGGAATATAGTAAAAGAGGTACTATTATAAAAGGAAAATTTATAACTGTGTCTACATAAAAAACAGAAAATCTTCAAATACATAACCTAACAATACATTTTAATTAACTAGAATAAAAAGACCAAACCTAACCCAAAATTAGAAGAAAAGAAATAATAAAGATTAGAGCAGAAGTAGATAAATTTAAAATGACGAAAATAATGTAAAGAATTAATGAAAGAAAAAGTTGATTTTTTGAAAAGTAAAACAATTGACAAATATTTAAACAGGCTAACTGAAAAACAAAAAAGATACAGATTAGTAAATCAGAGGTGAAAAAGGAGACATTACAAGTAACGCTTCAGAAAAGCAAAGTTTCATTAATGAATACTCTCAGCAATTTTATGCCAACAAATTAGAAAACCTAGAGGAAATTAATTCTTAGACAAACACAACTTACCAAGATTGAACTAGGAAAAAATCTAAAACCTGAACAGATCAATAACAATTAACAAAATTAATGCCTTAATAAAAGAGTCTGTAGGACCAGACTGAAAACTAGAGAAGGAAAGAACACTTCCAAACTCATTCTTTGAGGCTAGTATTACCCTGATATCAAAACCAGACAAAGACATATTTAAAAAAGCGAACTACAGGCCCATATCTGAGAATATTGGTGCAAAAATTTGCAAAACACCTAGCAAACTGAATTAAACAATACATAAATAAGTAATTCATAATGACCAAGTGGGATTTATCCCAGGGATGCAAGGATGGTTCAACATGCAACTCAATCAATGTGATAGATCACATAAAGAGAATGAAGGGGCCAGGCACAGTGGCTCACATCTGTAATCCCAGCAATTTGGGAAGTCGAGGTGGGTGGATCACCTGAGGTCAGGAGTTTGAAACCAGTCTGTCCAACATGGTGAAGCCCCGTCTCTACTAAAAATACAAAAAATAGCCAGTTATGGTGGTGGGCACCTGTAATCCCAGGTACTTGGGAGGCTGAAGAAGGAGAATCACTTGAACCTGGGAGGCAGAGGTTGCATTGAGCTGAGATCATGCCATTGCACTCCAACCTGGGTGACAGAGGGAGACTTCATCTCAAACAAAACAAAACAAAACAAAACAATAAAACAAGGACAAAATCCATATAATCATTTCAATTATGCTAACAATTTTTGATAAAATTTAATATTCTTTAATAACAAAACACTTTGAAAACTGGGTATGGAATGAACATAACCTCAACATAATAAAAGTCATATATGACAGACCCACAGCTAGCATCACACTAAGTGGGGAAAAACTAAAAGCCTTTACTCTAAAATCTGGAAGATGACAAGAATGTCCACTTTTACCACTGTTATTCAACATAATGCTGAAAGTCCTATCTGGAGCAATCAGACAGGAAGGAGAAAGCAATAAAATGCATCCCAGTTGGAAAAGAAGTCAAATTACCTTTTTTTTTTTGCCAATGATAAAATCTTATATTGGAAAAAGCATAAATACTCCTCTGATAGGGTTTGAATGTGTGTCCCCTCCCCAAATCTCATATTTAAATGTAATTCTGAATGATGGAGATGGGCCTGGTGGAAGGTGATTTAACCATTGGGATGGATTACTCATAAATGGCTTAGCACCATCCCATTTGGTGCTATCCTCATGATAGTGAGTGAGTTCCCATAAGAACTGCTTAGTTAAAACTGTGTAACAACTCTCCCCTCTGTTTTTTGCTCCTGCTTTTTGCCCTGTGATGTGCAAGATTCTGCTTCAACTTCTGCCATGACTGCAAAATTCCAGAGACTTCCCCAGAAACATATTCCAGTACTATGTCTTCTCCTCAGCCTGTAGAATCATAAGCCACTTAAACCTACTATGTAAAAAATAAATTATCTAGTCCCACTCTCATAGTGATGGAAAAATAGCTTAATACAGAAAATTGGCACCAAGGAATGGAAAATGGTTATAAGAATAACCCAAAATGTGGAATCAGCTTCGTAATTGGGTAAACAGATAGAAGTTGGAAGAGTTTGTAGGATTCAGAAGACAGAAAAATGATGGAAAGTTGAGATTTTCTTAGAGACTGGTTGAATGTCTGTGACCAAAATGTGGATAGTGGTCTGGACAGTGAATGCCGGGCTGAGGTCTCAGATGAAAACTAGAAACTTATTGGGACAGAAACAAAAGTCATGCATGTTGTCTTAGCAAAGTGGTTGGCCGAATTTCTGTCATGCCCTAGGGATATAGAAAAGTGTGAATTTGAAATTGATGATCTAGGGTTTCTGTTGGAAAAATATCTAAGCAGCAAAGCATTTGTGATGTGGCCTGGCTGCTTCTAACAACCTATGTTCACATGTTCCAGCAAAAAAAATAAAAATAAAATAAGTAGTAACTTATACTTACAAAAGAAGCATAGTGTAAATGCTTGAAAACTTTGCAGCCTAGTCATGTGGCTGAACTCGAAAAAGCTTTTATAAGAGGAACTCAAGCAGGACATGGGTCAATCACTTGTTAGAGATATTTGTATAACCTAAAAAAAAAGCAAGTCTTGATAGCCAAGACAATGGGAAAGAGGAATTGAAGGCATTTTAGAAATCTAAAAAGCAGCCCCCCATCACAGGCCCTGAGGCCTGAAAGAAGAGAATAGTTTCTGGGATCAGGCCTAGGACCTGCTGCCTTGGGTAGCTTTGGAACAAGGCTCCCTACATCCTGGCCACTGCTTCAGGTCCAGGTGTAGCCCAAATTGACCCATTTAAACTCCAGTCACTGGTTCAGAAGGTGCAAGTCGTAACCTTGGTAGCTTCCATGTGGTGTTAGGCCTGTGGGTTTACAAAAGCAAGTAGTTGAGACTTGGGAGCCTCCACTATTATTTCAGAGGATGTATGAAAAAGCCAGGGTGTGAAGGCAGAAGCATGCTTCAGAGGTGGAGCCCTCATGGAGATCCTCTACTAAAACAATGGAGAAAAGAAATGTAGTGTGACAGTCCCCAGGGAGGCTCCCAACTAGGTCATGGCCTAGTAGATCTGTGAGGAGAGGATCACTGTCCTCCAGACTCCAGAATGGTAGATCTAGCTACAGCCTGCATCTTGCAGCTTGAAAAGCCAGAGGCACAGAATGCCAGCCCATGAGAGCAGCTGTGAGGGCTGAACCATGCAAAGTCACAAGGTAGAATCTTCCCAAGGCATTAGTGTTCCCTGGAAATGGGACAGAGAGTCAAAAATAAGTATTTTGGAGCCTTACAATTCAATAACTGCCCTTCTGGGTTTCAGACTTTCATGGGTCCTGTGGCCCCTTTCTTTTGGCTCATTTCTTCCTTTTAGAATAGGAGTGTTTACCCAATGCCTCTGTCTCATTTGTATCTTGGAAGAACTTAACTTGTTTTTTTATTTTACAGGCTTATAGGAGGAAGAAATTAGCTTTGTCTTAGATGAGACTTTTGACTTTTGAGTTAACGCTGAAATTAGTTAAGACATTGGGGATTATTGGGAAGTCATGATTGTATTTTGAAATATGAGAAGGATATGAGATTTGGAATGGCCAGGGGCAAAATGATACAGTTTGGATGTGTATTCCCACCAAAATCTTATATTGAAATATAATCCTCAATGTTGGAAGTGGGCCTAGAGTGGAGGTGATCGAATCATGAGGGCAAGATTTACATGAACAGTTTGGCATCACTTCCTTTGGTGCCATTCCCACAATAGTAAGTTTTCATGAGAGCTGGTTATCTACAAGTGTGTGTTGCACTTCCCCCCTGCCCTCACACTTACCATGTGATGTGCAAACCCCAGATTTATTTGTCACCTTGTCAGTTGTCAGAGGCTTCCCCAGAAGCAGAAGCCAGCACAATGCTTTCTGTACACCCTGTAGAACCATGAACTGATTAAACCTATTTTCTTTATAAATAAACCAGTCACTGATTACTTTTTATAGCAATATGAGAATGGCCTAATACATCCACAAAAACTATTAGAAGTAATAACTTGAGTAAATTTGCAGAATACAAAATCAACATACACAAATCAGTAGGATTTCTATATGTCAATACTCAACAAACTGAAAAAGAATTCAAAAATATAATACTATTTACAGTAGCCACAAATAAAACAAAATGTGTGGGAATTTACCAAATAAAAGTTCTCAACAATTAAAACTGTAAAACACTGATAAAAGAAATGAAAAAGGACCCAAAAATTGGAAAGATATTTTTATGTTCACAGATTGGAAGAATCAGTATTTTTAAAACACCTCCATACAATCCATAGCAATCTATATATTTCATGCCATCTCTATCAAAATAACAGTCCAGGGACAGTGGCTCATGCCTGTAATCCCAGCACTTTGGGAGGCCAAATTTGGTGGATCATGAGGTCAGGAGTTCAAGACCAGCTTGGCCAACTTGGTGAAACCCATCTCTACTAAAAATAGAAAAAAATTAGTCAGGCATGGTGGCGGGTACCTGTAATCCCAGCTACTCAGGAGGCTGAGGCAAAGCATCGCTTGAACCCAGGAGGTGGAGGTTGCGGTGTGCCGAGATCACATCACTACATCACTCCACTCCAGTCTAGGTGACAGAGCAAGACGCCATCTAAAAAAAAAAAAAAAAGAAGAAGAAGAAGAAGAAGAAGACATTCCTCACAGATATAGAAAAAAAAATTCTGAAATTTTTACGGAAACATCACAAAACACCATAATAGTCAAAGCTATGCTGAGTATATAAAACAAAACTGGAGGAATTCCATTACTGGTTTTAAATTACACTACTAAGTTATAGTAATTAAAACAGCATGATACTAGCATTAAAACAGATGTAAAGACAGATGGAATGAAGTACAGACCTTAGAAACAAACTCATACAGCTAAATTAATTTTCAACAAAAGTGCCAAGAACATACAATAAAAAATAAGACAGTTTTTGTAATAAATAGGGGAGGGAAAACTGGCATTCTGTGTGAGGGACAAACATTCAGACCCTCATAGCAGTGTTCTGGAATCCTATGTGAGGGACAAACATTTGGACCACAGCAGGAGTGTTCTGGAATCCCCTGTGAGGAATAAACATTCAGACCCTCGTAGCAGTGTTCTGGAATCCTATGTCACAAACATTTAGAACCCAGCAGCAGTGTTCTGGAATCCTATGCGAGGGACAAACATTCAGAACCTCGTAGCAGTGTTCTGGAATCCTATGGGAGGGACACCTAAATTAATTTTCAACAAAAGTGCCAAGAACATACAATAAAAAATGAGACAGTTTTTGTAATAAATAGGGCTGGGAAAACTGGCAAACCATAGGCAGAAGAATAAAACTAGAACCTTATTTCTTGCCACTTACAAAAATCAAATGAAAAGGAATTAAAGACTTAAACCTAACGCCTCAAACCATCAAACTTTTACAAGAAAACATTGGGAAAACTCTTTAGGGCATTGGTTTGGGCAAAAACTCCTTAAATAATGCCCCAGAAGGACAGACAACCAAAACAAACATGGACAAATGGGATTACAGGAAGTCAGAAAGCCTTTTTAATGTGAAGGAAACAAGAAACAAAGTGAAGAGAAAATCCACAGAATGGGAGAAAGTATTTGCAAATTATCCATCTGAAAAGCAATTAATAGCTACATGATATGGTTAGGATTTGTGTCCCCACCTAAATCTCATATTGCATTTTAATCCCCATATGTTGAGGGAGAGACTTGGTAGAAGGTGATTGGATCATGGGGGTGGTTTCCCCCATGCTGTTCTTCTGATAATGAGTGATTTCTTATGAGATCTGATGGTTTTATAAGGGACTTTTCCCCCTTTGCTTCACATACATGCTCTCTGGCCTGCTGTCATTTAAGAGGTGACTACTTCCCCATGTGCCATTATTGTAAGTTTCCTGAGGCCTCCCCGGCCATGTGGAAATGTGAGTCGATTAAACCCATTTCCTTTATAAATTACCCAGTCTTGCCAGGTGCCGTGGCTCATGCCTGTAATCTCACAACTTTTGGAGGCTGAGGCAGGTGGATCTCGAGGTCAGGAGTTCAAGATCAGCCTGGCCAAGATGGTGAAACCCCGTCTCTACTAAAAATACAATAATTAGCCAGGCATGGTGGCAGGTGCCTGTAATCCCAGCTACTCAGGAGGCTGAGGCAGAGAATTGCTTGAATCAGGAGGTGGACGTTGCAGTGAGCCGAGATTGCACCACTGCACTTCAGCCTGGGTAAAAGATCAAGACTTCATCTTAGTAAATAAATACGTAACACAATCTCAGGTATTTTTTTATAGGAGTGCAGAAACAGACTAATACACTACAATATATTGAGTTCAAAAAATTCCATAGAAAAAAGTAATAACCCAAATAAAGTGTGGACAAAAAATTTAAATAGACATTTATGAAAAGAAGACATACAAATGTGAAACAGGCAAATGAAAAGGTGCTCCACATTACTGATCATCATAGAAATGCAGATCAAACCCAAAATGAGATATCATTTCACCCCAGTTAAGGTGGCTTTTATCCACAAGTCTGTGAAAAACAAATGCTGGTGAGTATGTGGAGTGAAGGGAATCCTTGTACACTGCTGTAGGGAGCACATTTAAGGACAGTTTGGATGTTACCGATATAACTAAAAATAGAGCTAGTATATGGTCCAGCAATCCCACTGCTCAGTATATGCCTACAAGAAATAAAATTGGTAAATCAAAGACCTATTGGCACTCTTATGTTTGCTACAGCAGGGTTTATAATAGCCAAGATTTGGAAGGAACCTACATGTCCATCAACAGATGACTGAATAGAGAAAGTGTGGTACATATGCACAATGGAGTACTATTCAGCTCTAAGAAAGAATGAGAGCCTGCCATTTGCATTAACATAAGTGGAACTGAAAGTATGTTAAGTGAAATGTGAGGCGGAGAAAGACAAATGTCACAAGTTCTCACTTATTTGTAGGTGCTAAAATTCAAAACAATTGGTGTCATAGGGATAGAGATTATAAGGATGGTTACGAGACTGGGAAGGGCAGGGAGGGAACAAGGGGATAGTGGGGATGCTAAATGGGTAAAAAACAATTGTTAGAAAGAAAGAATAAGACAGCATTTGATAGCACAACAGGGTGATTATAGTCAAAAATAATTTAATTCCACATTTAAAAAAACTAAAAGAGTATAATTGGATTGTTTATAACACAAGCTATAAATGCTTGAGGGAACAGATACCCCGTTTTTTATTATGTATTACTCATTGCATGACTGCATCAAAGTATATCATGTACCCGCATAAACATATACACCAACTATGTACCCACAAAGATAAATTAAAAATTGAAATTGAAATTAAAATTAAAACCAAAGGGAGGAGAGTATAATGAGGCATGTGTGACCCATGGCTTGAACTAGCTTTTCAGGTTAATTTTGGAATGTCCCTATCCAAGAAGAGAGGTCCATTTAGTCAACAGGGGTTTAGAAATTTATTTTTAGTTTATAAATGGAAAAAAGAAGGATTTTTAATACCGAGTCATAGTTCTCAGTCAATCAATCCCTGCAGGGAACCCTGTTCTTTACTCTGGAGATAAACACTCGTTTTCTTTTCCATGAAATAACACCACATTTCAAAATGAAGGGAAACGTCTTGAAACTAAGAGGTACAGCCTTATTAAATTTGATTTGGTGTCCATTGTAATTAATTTAATCACATGTGTTCTATAGTTTGTCCTCAGTCTTCCCCTAGTTTAGGCCCATGATCTGTTAAATTTGCTCAGCTCCCTGCTCAACAGCAGGAAATCAGAATTATTTAAAAACCTCATTGTGGCTAGGAGTGGTGGCTCATGCCTGTAATCCCAGCAATTTGGGAGGCCAAGGTGGACAAATCGCTTGTTGTCAGGGGTTTGAGACCAGCCTGGCCAACAGAGTGAATCCCCATCTCTACTAAGGATACAAATATTAGCTGGGTGTGGTGATTCATGTCTGTAATCCCAGCTACTTGGGAGACTGAGGCAGGAGAATTGCTTGAACCCGGGAGGTGCAGGTTTCAGTGAACCAAGATGGTGCACTGCACTCCAGCCTGGGCAACAGAGCAAGACTCTGTCTCAAAATAATAATAATAATAATTAATAATAATAATAATAATAAAATAAGTAAAAATAAAAATCTCATTGTGTTTCAAACCAAATTTCTTTTCAATACCAACTGTACCAACTTGCATATTAACTACAATCATTTTGTTTACTTTATATCCAATCTTGAGAAATCTTTGAGGACTAATTTCACTCTTTTCTGCCATTTTGCTAAACGTACCAAATGCCATCAAACAAAACGCACAAAATTCCTGAGAAATACATTTTCTCCCTGAGGAGTAGACTTGCTGTGTTAGAGGAACTCATGGTTACTTAGCTTCTAGTTTAATAAACATGACTAGAATATTCTATCTTAATATGAGTAGCTAGGTACTCATAAGACATCCAGAAGGTTAATGTTCATGGTCTGAAAATAGTCACAATTGTTAACTGGCCACAAATTACAATTGCAGAATATTTGTGGTCATACAAGACATCTTCCACCAAGCCTGAAAAATGTATAAATGTCCTAGGAGTGCAGCATTTTTTTGTAAGGATATTATTAATGAGCTAGCTTAGGTCAATGGGTTAATGGTTATTGTTAAAACCACTAGTCCAGACTTTAGTGACTACATCTGCACCTTCCAAGTTTAATTATAACTCTTTCTGTTTATAGTTACTTATAAGTAGAGACACTAACAAAAGACAATGCGTTCCTGCTCTTGTTTTCTGAGGAAGTCCAACTCTGTAATGGAGTAATTTCTAATAAATTTGCTTCTTTCACTGTGCTCTCTGACTCACCTCAAATTTTTTCCTGCAGAAGACCTAAGAATACTACTTTGTGGTCTATATCAGGACCCTCTTTTCCAGTGATATCTTTCAACAACACCATGAACGGACACAATCCACACGGAATCAATCAGCTGACACCTGGCAAGTGGTCTGTTTTTTAGAGTTGTGAAGCCATTCTGGTGGGCAAGAATGATTATCCACTATTATCATACTCAGATTAGAGGCCAAGCCCACAGGGTTAGAGGCCCTGGGGAATATTGAGAAGAATGGATTTGGCTAAACAAGATGTTTGCCACTTTCTCTTTTTGGACTGTCCACCTTGTGCTCTCTGTCCCTCACCTGAGTGCTCTACATCTTGTCACCTTTCTGCTCACCGCCTCTGCTTTGTAGTAGCCTGGAGGCTGCCCCAGGACAGAGGCCCCAAATAGTTTAGCTTTTACTTTCCTCAGCTATCCTCTGACTCTTAACTGACTGCTAGTTTAATTTGCCACTGGTCCAAGTGACACTGAAAAAAAGAATTGTCTTGGAACCCAGTATTTTTGTACCTTAATTATTCGAAAAGATCAGCAGTAACCTCACCATCATTATGACTAGAAATTGAAATATGGTATTTAAGAGCTCTACATGATAAGATCAGATATGCCTGTTTAGTGACAGCCTCTTATATGACAACCCTCTGCAAACAATTACCCTCTAGATGGAGAACATGAGACTTTTTCTTAACAGTTTTCTCTCATTTCTTAGCCATAATGCCATCTTTGATGAGCTGGTTTAGGGCAGCTGGACCCTACTTTCTAAACCCAGCATATCACTTTTTTCCTGAGTTTTGTCAGTTTTGTCATAGCAGTGTGAAAATGGAGTAATACATTACAATATACAAATTACAGCCTTCCCATTTCCCCTGTTTGATCTGACTCCTATTTTGCAGCTTAATTTGTTTTATAGAAGAGAAACTAAGAGGGAGGAAATACATTATATACAGGCTTCTCTGATGCTTGGTCAGGATAAAAAATTAAAATGGGCTTCTATATGTTTGATGGAGGAAAAGATAAAATAGGGATGGCACGTTATTGATTACCGTTTCAAAGCAAGTGCCTCTTAATATTGGGCTTTTCTTAGCTGGGGCTGAACTCCCCCTGCCAGTCCAAGCACCCCATAAGAACACAGTCAGATTCCTTCCAGTTCTAGTGAGGTGTGCAACATGTTATAAATTTCTTCTAGTTTTCCTGGGTTATCTAGTTTCTGGTCATCTTCTTCTCCCTGCCCTTTGAGTCCTGTCTTACATACATACCCCACTCTCGAAACACCCGATCTTCACCAGAACAACATGCAGTGGGACCCCTTATCAGCTGACAAAGTTGAATGTTTGCCCTCTCTGGGAAGAGAGAGATGATAATAGGGACACTATATTGAAGGGGTGGCCTGTCTCTCCACACCTGTGGGCATTTCTCATCAGGTGGAATGAGAGACTTGTGAAAAGAGACGCAGAGACAAAGTATAGAGAAAAAGTGGGCCCAGGATACCAGCGCTCAGCATACGGAGGACCTGCGTTGGCACCAGTCTCTGAGTTTCCTTAGTATTTATTGATCATTATCGGGCATTTCTCAGAGAGGGTGATGTGGCAGGACAATAGGGTAATAGTGGAGAGAGGGTCAGCAGGAAAACGTGAGCAAATGCCTCTGCATCATGAACAAGGTAAAGAAAAAAGTACTGTGCTTTTGATGTGTATATACATAAACAACTCAATGCCTTAAACAGCAGTATTGCCTCCAGCATGTCTCACCTCCAGCCCTAAGACAGTTTTCCCCTATCTCAGTAGATGGAATATACAATCGGGTTTTACACTGAGATATTCCATTGCCCAGGGACGAGCAGGAGACAGATGGCTTTGTCTTATCTCAACTGTAAAGAGGCCTTCCTCTTTTACTAAAACTCCTCAGCACAGACCGTTTACAGGTGTCAGGCTGGCAGATGGTCAGTTCCTTCCCTTCCCATGAGGCCATATTTCAGACTATCACATGGGGAGAAACCTTGGACAATACCCGGCTTTCCTAGGCAGAGGTCTCTGTGGCCTTCCGCAGTGTTTTGTGTCCCTGTGTACTTGAGAGTAGGGGGTGGTGATGACTTTTAACAAGCATGCTGCCTTCAAGCATTTGTTTAGCAAAGCACATCCTGCATAGCCCTAAATCCATTAAACCTTGAGTCAACATAGCACATGTTGCTGTGAGCACAGAACAGAATGGAGTGTCTTATAGCTACTTCTTTCTACATAGACACAGTAACAGTCTGATCTCTCTTTCTTTTCCCCACACTATATATGTATATGTACACTTTTCTACATCTGAATTAGCCATATGCAAGGAAAAACTAAAACAGTTTTCAGAGATTCCAGGAAAATTCACAGACAAATTTAAAAGGCTAACCTTGATGTATGATCTGACCAGGCAGGATTTGCATATATTTATGTTTACCTGCTGCATGATAGAAGAGCAGTGCATTATGGGAGTGGCTAGAGCACATGCTAATAGGGTGGCAGCCTGCAACCAGAGGCATGGCACCTATCAAGTAGGAGGCTCAGCAGTGCCTGACTAGGACCCAAAAGAGGACTAGAATCTAGACAAATAAATTAGGAAGAAAGTGGGATATATAGAGAAAAATTATGATCGTTTGACTCCGTGAAGGAATTTTAAAAAAGTGTGATACAGCTTTTTAATTTTTATAAAGTCTGGAAAATTACTCAGGAAAAAGATGAAAACCTAGCCTTATTACAAGGGTGGATAATTTAGACCTTGAGGAAATACACTAACACTGACCCTGACTCCAAAAAGGGACAGGCATTGCTAGGAGCTTAATTTATAGTGGCGGTCCCCTGATATATGCAGGAAGCTGCCAAAAGCAGTCTTAGGCTTCCAGATTCCCATGGATCAGACTTTAGACTTGGATTTTGCAGTTTTCCATCACAGGGATTGGGCAGACAAAACATAAAATAAAGAAAATCTTCCAAGAGTCCCAGCTTCTAGCTGCAGCCTTGTGCTCTCCACCACTTCAGAGGCATCCCCTTAACCCCTGGCCCTCACAGAGGAAGTGAGAAGGTGAAAGTCCCAGTTTGTGCCTCTGGGCCACCGTACCTTGGATGTAAATCAATGTGCCTTCTGTAGGAAGGTCAGCCACTGCCAAAGGAAATGCACTGTGCTTCCAAGGGAGCCATCATCAGAGCCCAGCAGACTCAAAAGTGGCAGGGCCTGACACTTCCTACCTCCACTCCCATTGGACTATTAGCTACGGAGAAATGGAGGAGCCTCAGGTGACTCTTGAAGTAGAAGGTAGGAGTATTAACTGCTTATTAGGTGTGGGAGCATATTACTCTGTCCTGATTCAATACAATGGGCTACTGTCTTCTCATGATGGACAAGCCCCAAAACACTCCTTTTTGTATCTTCTAAGTTGTCCTCCAGAGCCTCTAGGTTTCTCACCTGCCTTTTTAGTAATTGTCCGATTGCCTGACCTCTTACTGGGGAGAGGTTTATTGACTCAGGAGACAAAGTCATGGTCACCTTCACAGATCATGAAGCATAGAAAGTGTTACTTTTGTTCCTGACCCCTCAGGGGAAAAAAGAAGTTAAGAATGAGCTGTCACATTTACCACCTGAGGTGTTGTCTCAAGTAAATCTTGAGGTTTGGGCCACACAGGCTCTGGGAAACGCACTAAACACCTCCCCCATTCAAATCCAACTTCAGCCTAGTGCTCCTCGACCTCAGAAGAGACAATACAGTTTAAGGCAAGAAGCATGGGGGAAATTCAACCCCTTATTGCCAAATTCTTGCCATATGAGTTATTAAGGCCATGTGAGTCTCCTTACAATACTCGCATGTTACCAGATAAAAAGCCTAATGGCACGTACAGATTTGTCAGAACCCTTAGAGCATTAAGAAATGCAGTTGTCTCCATACACCTCATTGTCCGCAATACTTACCAAGTCCCAGGTGATGCAAGCTAGTTTACATTCTTAAATCTGAAAGATGCACTTTTCTGGATCTCAATGCATCCAGATTCATAATATGTTTGCCTTTGAATGGACTGATCCAGATATTCATTCAGCCTCAAAACTAACCTGGACAGTCATCTCTGAAGGGTTCTGGGATAGCCCCCACTTATTGGGAAATGCTCTAGTTAAGGACTTAAGAAATCTGCAATTGGAAAAGGACAAAATTATTCAGTATGTAGGTGACTTGCTCATTGCTAGCCCAACTAAAGAAGACTTATAATAATAATGTTAAGTTGGGAAATTTCCTGGGAACTTGCAGATATATTGCATCACCATACAGGGCTCAGATTTTGACCGAAAGACTTAAATATTTGGAATCTGTCTTAACCTCTGGAACTGATCAACATCCCTAGAAGATAAAAAAGTTATTTTAGTCACCCAAGGGTCCCTGTCCAAAAAATGACTGTGGGCTTTTTTAGATGGCTGGGTACTGTTGCTTATGGGTGCCCAGATTTGGGCATATAGCCAAGCCTTTATATGATACACTAAAGGGAAAGATTTAGAGCTCCTAGAATGTAATGACAACTGCAAGCAAACCTTCAATACTCTCAAGGAGAAATTGGGCTCTGCTGCAGCCGTGGGAGTCCCCAAGTTGGATGAACTATTTTTTCTTTATGTGACCAAAAAGCAAAGCACAGGCCTTGGGTAATCTTGTCCCAAAACTGGGGGACATTCCAAGGCCAGTAGCCTAATTTTCTAAGCAGGCAGACCAGGTGGCCTCAGGGTGGCCTTTGTGTCTTAGAGATATTGCTGCTACCACTTTTCTAGCAGGCAAAGCTAATAAACTAACATTAGAACAGCACCTACAGGTTTTTGACCCCACATCAAGGGAAGGTAATCCTAGAAGCTAAAGAGCAGCAATGGATAATAGGAGAACATTTATGAAAGTATCAGGCTTTATTGCTAGACACTCCAGACATAACCCTTAAAGGCTGCCAAACCATAAACCCAGCTACTTATCTGCCAGTGTCCTCAGGAGCTTCTAGCCTTTCTGACATACAGGTTGTATTAGTCTGTTCTCATGCTACTAATAAAGACATATCTGAAGCTGGGTAATTTATAAAGAAAAGAGGTTTAATTGACTCACAGTTCCACATGTTCGGGGAAGGCTCACACTCATGGCAGAAGGCAAATGAGGAGCAAAGTCTCATCTCTTACATGGCAGCAGGCAAAAGGGCTTGTGTAGGGAAACTCCCCATTATAAAACCATCAGCTGTCATCCTAGCACTTTGGGAGGCCAAGGCAGTGGATGACCTGAGGTGAGGAGATCGAGGCCAGCCTGACCAACATGGTGAAACCCCGTCTATAGTAAAAGTACAAAAATTAGACAGGCATGGTGGTAGGCACCTGTAATCCCAGCTACTCGGGGGGCTGAGAGAGGAGAATAGCTTGAACCCAGGAGTCAGAGGTTGCAGTGAGCCAAGGTCATGATAATGCACTCCAGCCTGAGCAACAGAACAAGACTATGTCTCAAAAATAAATAAATAAACCATCAGATCTCATGAGGCTTGTTCACTGTTACGAGAACATCATGGGAAAGACCCATCCCCCGATTAGATTACCTCCCACTGGTTCCCTCCCATGATATACAGGAATTATGGGAGCTACAATTCAAGATAAGATTTGACTGGGGACACAGCCAAAGCATGTCACAGGTTATGAGACAAATTTATTCTAGCAGGCCAGACTTAAGAGAGATGAGCCCTTTGACCATCCTAAGGAAGAGTGGTTAACAGATGTAAATTGTTTTATGCATCAGGAAAACGGGAGGGGTAGATATGCTATTAGTAGTCAGCTCAAGAGAATCAAGGCACAAGTCTTGCTGGTCTCGAACTCAGCTCGAAAAGCTGAGTTAATTGAAATTACTCAGCCCCTGTATTTGGGAAAGATTTAAAAGTTAACATTTACACTGATTCCAAGTATGACTTTTTAGTGCTTCATGATTATGCTGCAATTTGGAATGGGTAGGGGCTCCTGACCCCCAAGGGCTTTTCCCTACAACATCATTCAGATTTTGAGCTTGTTAGAATGCTGCTTTGCTGCCAAAAAGTGACTATAATTAATTGCAGAGGACATCAAAAGAGAGACTGACCATATAAAAGGAAATGCCCTTGTAGATGAAGCAGCCAAGGCCCCTGCACTGAAAGGGTCAATGAAGCTTATGGGCGTGCTGGCAAGCATACATAGAACTGAGCCAGAACACTCTGAAGAAGAAGAAAAATGGGCCAGGGATTTCATTTCAGTCCAGGGCCCCTGTGGCTGGCTGAATGATAGTAATAAATTACAAATTCCAAGTACCAATTGTAGGAATATAATTCAGCACTTTCATGATTCTTTTCACCCTAGAAGGGATTCTTGGTTTCTGTCAATATCTCATTTGTTTATAGGGGTAAATCTTTTCAAGACACCAAAACAGGTGACTCAGCCCTGTGAGCTCTGTGCCTGACATGACCCAAATGGCCAGCAATTTTCTCCTTCTCCAGGTAAACCTGTCCAAAATTGAGAAACCTATCCAGGTGAGAACTGGCAACTCTAATTTACTTAGATACCTTTCTGCAGGAGATTCAAATATTTGCTAACGCTTACTGATAACTTCACTGGTTAGATCGAGACATTCCCCACCCCATCTGAAAAATGTTTACCAGAAGAAATAACTCCTCAGTTTGGGTAATCTAAAAGCCTGCAAAGTGGCAATGGCCCATCTTTCACAGCTGGTGTATCCCAACACCTATCCTCAGCTTTAAGAATCCAATATTACCTTTACTCTGTGTGCAGACTGCAGTCCTCTGGAAAGGTGAAAGGGCTAATCCTACTCTAAAGAAGACTCTAGCTAAATCAGATGCCTGACTATCTCTAACACCCATAGCTTACTGTGGGTTTGAACTGCTCCAAAGTAAAACTTATAATTAAATCCTGTTGAGTTAACATTTGGAAGACCTTTCCTAAGCACAGGTCTCCTAATAGATGAAAAGACTCAACAATTACAAAAATATGTCATCAATCTAGGACAGGTGCAAAGGCACTTTGTGAATATGGAAACAAGAGTCTTCCCCTACCACATGGGAGGAAAATTCAGTTTCAGCTCAGCTAGGGATTTAGTCTTACTAAAGATGTGGGAGGAAGTTTTCCAGTTGACCAGCTTTCCCCAACTTGGAAAGGACCACAGCAAGGACATCGGAGCTCTCCAACAGACGTTCAACGCCAAGGGATTAACAAATGGGTACACCTGTGTGGAAGTAAAGCTGTTGCTTATTCTGGGAGCCGAATCTGAGGCTGACGGATGTGGGTGCGGGGCTATTTCAGCGTTGGTGGAGGGCGGGCTGGGTAGCTGCCCATCTGCTCCTCCTTCTCACGTTTCTCCTGCCGCTCTAATCCCGCCTTGGCCATGAAGGAAATCGTGCTCACGCAGGCCGGGCAGTGCGGGAACCAGATTGGCGCCAAGGTTGTATTTGACTCCCTAAAATTTAAAATTTTGTATGAGAGAAAAATACCTCAAAGTCAAAAGTCAACAGACTGGGGAAATAGATCTGCAACATACATGACAGACAAAAAGCTAATTTGGGATATATATATACACATATATATACACACACACATATATATACACACACATATACATACATACATATAAATATATATACATATAAATATATATAGAGATAGATAGATATATGTAAATATCCATTTTTTTTGTTTTTTTTTTTTTTTGGTGAACAAGTGAAAGGAAGTTTATTGTGTTTGGTACATATATCTGTTTCTGTTTTCCATACAAGCACATCAACCACAAGACTTACAGAGCACAATGGAATAATAATCACAAAATATTTAAAGATATAAAAAGACCTAACAATTCCAATCATAAGCAAGTCCCTCATACAGGACATAAACCACAAAAGCAACAAGACATGTACGGGAAAAGTGCTTCTTAAGATCATTTTATTATCATGTATAAACTCTTTCTGATTTCAATATAAGTTTAAGAACTCTTAAATCGACGAAGGAAAGAACTAAATTTGTAAGTTATAATTTATAAAGATTATCAGGGACAATGCTAAGAAAAAATAGAAAAGAATGAATTTGCATACATATTCATGAATTCTTACACAGTTGTCTTCTTTAACAATGGAGCAATGAAAATACAATCGGAATAACTGGTGCTTTTTGAAAAGCTGATTGTAAATGGTCAACTGCACATTTGAATCAATTACTATGATACATGGCAAATAATAGAGAGCCTCCAAAATGTGTGAGGCATATTTATTTCTTTTGATTTTTTCATTTATGAACATGAATGCTTATTTTACTTATAATCTTCTGATTGGATTGATCAAGAAAGACATTAAACTTGGTTGAAGAAGGTAGTCAAGAGTCTGCACAACTGGTCTTTCTTAGAGCAAAGTTACTCAGGAATAGTTTCTGAGTTCCCTCTCCTGGGCTCATAATTAGTGGCAGCAGAGAGGGAAGAACAATCTAGAAGCCAGCAGTATCAGAATGAGAGTAAGAGCACCCTAGCTCGCTCACAAACACTCCAAAAGCTAAGACTGCCCTCCTGACCATGAGAATATATCTGCTTCCTGTGATAAAATACCAAAAATCTCAGTTTCTCTCTGCCATTGTTACTTGTAATAAACTGCATCCCACGGACCCAGTTTAGCCCCCTGATCAAAAGCATGGCTACAGACTAATTCAGTGAATGGGCCCATGAGTTCTTGTAACATACCTGAACATTCAGACATATTGTTTCCATTTTTGCATTGTCTGAAATCTTCTGTCAGTGTAGCAAGTGTACCTTAACTGCTAAATAGCTTACCCCACTTAGAAAAATAACTAAGGGCATGGAACTCCCAACATTCAATAAATTCTGATAGCTGTGAATGCTGTTTTCACCTTCTAATCACCAGTACAAAAAAATTCCACACTCTAGACTTAAATCTTACATCAACTGTCCTTCAGAAAATTATTTAATCCTTCTGGGACTCTAATTTCTGATCTTTTTTTAAAATTTATTTTTTTATTTTCTTTTTTTATTATTATACTTTAAGTTTTAGGGTACATGTGCACATTGTGTAGGTTAGTTACATATGTATACATGTGCCATGCTGGTGCACTGCACCCACTAACTCGTCATCTAGCATTAGGTCTATCTCCCAATGTTATCCCTCCCCACTCCCCACACCCCACAACAGTCCCCAGAGTGTGATGTTCCCCTTCCTGTGTCCATGTGATCTCATTGTTCAATTCCCACCTATGAGTGAGAATATGCGATGTTTGTTTTTTGTTCTTGTGATAGTTTACTGAGAATGATGATTTCCAATTTCACCCATGTCTCTACAAAGGACATGAACTCATCATTTTTTATGGCTGCATAGTATTCCATGGTGTATATGTGCCACATTTTCTTAATCCAGTCTATCATTGTTGGACATTTGGGTTGGTTCCAAGTCTTTCCTATTGTGAATAATGCCACAATAAACATACGTGTGCATGTGTCTTTATAGCAGCATGATTTATAGTCCTTTGGGTACATACCCAGTAATGGGATGGCTGGGTCAAATGATATTTCTAGTTCTAGATCCCTGAGGAATCACCACACTGACTTCCACAAGGGTTGAACTAGTTTACAGTCCCCCCAACAGTGTAAAAGTGTTCCTATTTCTCCACATCCTCTCCAGCACCTGTTGTTTCCTGACTTTTCAATGATTGCCATTCTAACTGGTGTGAGATGGTATCTCATTGTGGTTTTGATTTGCATTTCTCTGATGGCTAGTGATGATGAGCATTTTTTATGTATTTTTTGGCTGTATAAATGTCTTCTTCTGAGAAGTGTCTGTTCATGTCCTTCGCCCACTTTTGGATGGGGTTGTTTGTTTTTTTCTTGTACATTTGTTGAGTTTATTGTAGATTCTGGATATTAGACCTTTGTCAGATGAGTAGGTTGCGAAGATTTTCTCCCATTTTGTAGGTTGCCTGTTCACTCTGATGTTAGTTTCTTTTGCTGTGCAGAAGCTCTTTAGTTTAATTAGATCACATTTGTCAATTTTGTCTTTTGTTGCCATTGCTTTTGGTGTTTTAGACATGAAGTCCTTGCCCATGCTTATGTCCTGAATGGTAATGCCTAGGTTTTCTTCTAGGGTTTTTATGGTTTTAGGTCTAACATCTAAGTCTTCAATCCATCTTGAATTGATTTTTGTATAAGGTGTAAGGAAGGGATCCAGTTTCAGCTTTCTACATATGGCTAGCCAGTTTTCCCAGCACCATTTATTAAATAGGGAATCCTTTCCCCGTTGCTTGTTTTTCTCAGGTTTGTCAAAGATCAGATAGCTGTAGATATGCGGCGTTATTTCTGAGGGCTCTGCTCTGTTCCGTTGATCTATATCTCTGTTTTGGTACCAGTACCATGCTGTTTTGGTTTCTGTAGCCTTGTAGTATAGTTTGAAGGCTGGTAGTGTGATGCCTCCGGCTTTGTTCTTTTGGCTTAGGATTGACTTGGCGATGTAGTCTCTTTTTTCATTCCATATGAACTTTAAAGTAGTGCCTCAATAGCTGCAGAAAAGGCCTTTGACAAAATTCAACAACTCTTCATGCTAAAAACTCTCAATAAATTAGGTATTGATGGGACGTATTTCTAAATAATAAGAGCTATCTATGACAAACCCACAGCCAATATTATACTGAATGTGCAAAAACTGGAAGCATTCCCTTTGAAAACTGGCACAAAACAGGGGTACCCTCTCTCACCACTCCTACTCCACATAGTGTTGGAAGTTCTGGCCAGGGCAATTAGGCAGGAGAAGGAAATAAAGTGTACTGAATTAGGAAAAGAGGAAGTCAAATTGTCCCTATTTACAGATGACATGATTGTATATCTAGAAAACTCCATTTTCCCAGCCCAAAATCTCCTTAAGCTGATAAGCAACTTCAGCAAATTCTCAGGATACGAAATCAATGTACAAAAATCACAAGCATTCTTATACACCAACAACAGACAAACAGAGAGCCAAATCATGAGTGAACTCCCATTCACAATTGCTTCAAAGAGAATAGAATACCTAGGAATCCAAGTTACAAAGCATGTGAAGGACCTCTTTGAGGAGAACTACAAACCACTGCTCAAGGAAATAAAAGAGGATACAAACAAATGGAAGAACATCCCATTCTCATGGATAGGAAGAATCAATATCGTGAAAACGGCCATACTGCCCAAGGTAATTTATAGATTCAATGCCATCCCCATCAAGCTACCAATGCCTTTCTTCACAGAATCGTATATATCCGTTTTTAACACCATTTAAAAAAAATACCGTCCTTTCCCCATTGAACAGTGTTGACGCCCTTGTTAAAAATCATGACCATGTTTTTTGGTTCTTTATTTCTATTGCATTGGTCTTTGTGTCTGTCTCTATGCTGCTACAGCATTGTTTTGCATACTGAAGTTTGAAACCAGAAGATGTTACTCTTCTAACTTTGTCAGTTTTTAAGATTGATTTGGCTGCTTGGGGTTTTTTGAGATTTCAACTGAATTTTAGAATAGGTTTTTCTATTTTTGCAAATATTGGAATTTTTATAGTGATTTTACTGAATCTGTAGATGACTATAGATAACAATGGCCCCTTGACAAGGTTTTGTCTTCCAGTCCATAAACACTTGATGTCTTTTCATTTATTTGTGTCATCTTTAATACTTTCATGCCATGTTTATAGTTTTTGCTGTACAGGTTTTTCATTTCCTTGGTTAACTGGGTTTCTACGTATTTTATTCTTTTGATGTTATCATACATGATACTGTTGCCTTGATTTCTTCTTCAGATAGTTTATTGTTATTGTAGAAATACAACTGATTTTTGTGTATTGTTTTCTATCCTCCAGCTTTGCTGAATTTTATTTATTGCGTCTGAGAGTTTATCTCACGGAAACTAAAAGATTTTTAATATATAAGGTTATGTCATCTTCAAACAGATATTAAATAGAAGTAGTAAAAGCAGGCATCCTTGTTTTTGCTCTTAGGGTAAAAGCTTTCAGTCTTTCACCATGTTAGCTGTGTTTCTTTGTTTTGTTTTGTTTTTTGTACAGCATTATGTAAAGTGTTTTCTTTCTTTTTATAGCTTATTAAGTATATTTTATCATGAATGTGCATTAAATTTTGACAAATGCTTCTTTTTCTTTGCTTAAGATGATCACATGCGGGTTTTTTCCTTATGTTAATGCGATATTACACTGATTTTCATGTATTGGAACATACTTTCATTTCAGGAGTCAATTATACTCATTCATAGTGTATAATCCGTTTAATGTACTGCTAAGTTTGAGTTGCTGGTATTTTGTTGAGGATTTTTGCATCAGCATTTATAAGGGATGTTTGTTTGTAGTTTTCTTATGGTGCCTTTTTCTGTCTTGGTGCCAGGGTAATACTGGACTCACAGAATAAGTTAGAAAAAATTACCTCCTCTTCAACGTTTGAAAAAGTTTGAGAAAAAGTGGTGTTAATTCTGTTTTAAACATTGGGTAGAATTTAACAGTGAAGCCATCTTGTCCAAGCTTTTCTTTGTTGCTGAGTTTTTGATTACTGATGTAATCTTCCTGCTGAATCTCCTTGCTGAATAGGTTTATTCAACTTTTCTGATTCAGTCTTAGTAGGTTTTTTTTTCCTAGGAATTTGTTCATTTTATTTAGGCTATTCAATTTTTTAGTGTATAGTTCCTTATGTTACTCTCCTACACCCCTTTTTTACTCCAAAAATTTGTTAGTAATATACCCATTTTATTTTTGAGTTTAGTAATTTGAATATTCCCTTTCTTTCTTAGTCAATCTAGATAAAATTTTGTCACTTTTGATATTTTTCAGAGAACAAACTAGGTTGTGTTGATTTTTGATATGGTTTTTCTATTCTCTATTTCACTTATTTCCACTGCAAATTTTATCTTTTTTTTAATTTTTGCTAGTTTTAGTTGTCCCTCTTTAATAGTCCCTCTTTTTCTCTCTGTTTTTAGTTCCTTAGGAGTAAAGTTGTTGATTTGGTATCTTATTTTTTATAATCATTTATAGCTATAAATTTTTCCCTTATGGTACCGTTTTTGATGTATCTCCTAACTTTTGGTATTTCATGTTTTTAATTTGTCCCCATATATTTGCTCTTGTGATTTCTTCTTTTTCCATCCTTGAGAGTTTCATACCTATATTTTTAGATATAAAATGTGTAACCTACAAAATTTTCTTGATTTGTTTGTTTTATTTGTTGTAAGTTTTTATTTCAGAATTAAATATGTGTATCAACATTTGTTATGTTCTCATAAACTTTGAAATACATGGAGATTCCTGGTCCACATATGTAAGTCTCTATATGAATATTATTTTGAAGCATTTAACCTTCTATTTTAATATTTCAAAGGTCTAGATGAAATTGAGACTTTGGTTTCTGAGATGAAATAATGCTAGGTGACTGAGAAATGCTTAAAAATTTGCCAAAACTTAAAATTAAGTTAAAGTTTACCTTCAAGATTCAACCTGAATAAGTCGCCCTGTATTGCTGGTAATAAAGAATAAGTCTTTAATGATATAAAAGGAAACTTCAGATAATTTTTCCCCAGTTGACATATAAATTAAAAGATATAAAAAATTTTTATGGCCTTATGCATTTTTTACTTTAGAATTCCAAATTTTTCTCGTTAAAATTTTTCCCAACAGATTCCTGTGTATTTGAAAGACAAATAATTTTTTAGTTGAAATGCTTAAGCAGTTAAATAAGGCCATGAAAATTTCTTGAACTTGTGGGAATCCATGAGAAAACCTGACATTATGTTCTATTCTCTTGGAAGGTAGAATTATCGTTTGACTTCTGTTTTGCTGACAAGAAATGTCCTGAGCAAGGCTACCTGGGAAAATGACCTCACACATGGAAAACGTTGGAGCCCATCTGTTTCCAATGTGCTGTTTTCCGAAAATTAGGGAAGTTCAGTTTTCCCTTTGACACTCTCTCTTACTACCAATCCCAATGCCAGGGCTGTCCTGCTTCTACAAGTGACAATGACAAATATGGGCCTGAAGAAAGATGAGCTGATGGCATTCCCAGCTTATTACCTCTCCTTGGGGTCCTTATCTCACATACATGAATTCAACTCATAAACTCAGCTGGGTGAGGATCTGTTATTCAGCTACATAAGAAGTGATTGCTTAAGACTCGGGTGTGTGGTGAAATGAGGCAGAATTTTCTCAATGGAATGTTGGGAGAATTTTCTCATTATTACCATCTTACTATCACTAAATCATAGCTAAAATGAAGACATTGTTCAAGAAGAAATAGAAATGTAACCTTATGAGGACATAAATTTAGAGATTTGTGGAGAGCTCTTCATAATTTTATGGTGTTGTCTTTGAGCTGGGATTATAGTTGACATTTCATTATAATATATTAGCTGTTCTAGACTTTATGCATTTATGCAGTTTTCTTTATTGTACTTTAAGTTCTGTGATACATGGGCAGAGCATGCAGGTTTGTTACATAGTTATACACGTGTCGTGGTGGTTTGCTGCACCCATCAACCCGTCATCTACATATGTATTTCTCCTAACGCTATTCCTCCCCTAGCCTCCCACCCCATGACAGGCCCCAGTGTGTGATGTTCCCCTCCCTGTGTCCATGTGTCCTCATTGTTCAACTCCCACTTATGCGTGAGAACATGCAGTGTTTGGTTTTCTTTTCTTTTTCTTTCTCTCTCTTTTTTTCTTTTTTGAGACAAAGTTTCACTCTTGTTGCCCAGGTTGAAGTGCAATGCTGTGATCTCGGCTCACCACAACCTCTGCCTCCTGGGTTCAAGCGATTCTCCTGCCTCAGCCTCCCAAGTAACTAGGATTACAGGTATGTGCCAATATGTCTGGCTAATTTTTTTTATTTTTAGTAGAGATGGGGTTTCTCTATGTTGGTCAGACTGATCTCAAACTCCCCACCTCAGCCTCCTAAAGTTCTGAGACTACAGGCATGAGTCACTGCTCCTGGCCTGATTTTCTTTTCTTGTGTTAGTTTGCTGAGAATGATGGTTTCCAGCTTCATCCATGTCCCTGGAAAAGACATAAATGCATAGTATTACATGGTGTATATGTGTCACATTTTCTTTATCCATTTTATCATTAATGGCAATTTGGGTTGGTTCCAAGTCTGCTATTGTGAACAGTGCTGAAATAAACATACAGTGCTGAAATAAACATACGGTTCATGTGTCTTTATAGTATAATATTTTATAATGCTTTGGGTATATACCCTATAATGGGATTGCTGGGTCAAATGGTATTTCTGGTTCTATATCTTTGAGGAATTTTCACACTGTATTCCACAATGACTGAACTAATTTACACTCCTACCAACATTGTAAAAGCATTCCTGTTTCTCCACAGCCTCATCAGCATCTGCTGTTTCCTAACATTTTAATAATCACCATTCTAACTGGCGTGAGATGATATCTCATTGTGGTTTTGATTTGCATTCATCTAATGACTAGTGATGATGAGCTTTTTTTCATATGTTTGTTGGCCACATAAATGTCTTCTTTTGAGAAGTGTCTGCTCGTTTTCTTTGCCCACTTTTTGATGGGCCTGTTTTTTTCTTGTAAATTTGTTTAAGTTCTTTGTAGATTCTGGATATTAGCCCTTTGTCAGACAGATAGATTGCAAAATATTTCTCCCAATCTGTAGGTTGTCTGTTCACTCAGATGATAGTTTATTTTGCTGTGCAAAAGCTCTTTAGTTTAATTAGATACCATTTGTCAATTTGGGCTTTTGTTGCCATTGCTTTTGGTGTTTTAGTCACAAAGTCTTTGCCCATGCTTATGTCCTGAATGGTATTGCCTAGGTTTTCTTCTATGGTTTTTATGGTTTTAGGTCCTATGTTTAAGTCTTTATTCCATCTTGAGTTATTTTTTGTGTAAGGTATAAGGAAGATGTCCAGTTTCAGTTTTTGCATATGGCTAGCCAGTTTTCCCAACATGATTTATTAAATAAGGAATCCCTTCCCCATTGCTTGTGTTTGTCAGATTTTTCAAAGATCAGATGGTTTTGTGTGTATGGTCTTATTTCAGAGTTCTCTATTCTGTTTCATTGGTAGTTTTTGTACCCGTACCATGCTCTTTTGGTTACTGTAGCATTGTATTGTAGTTTGAAGTAGGGTATTGTGATGCCTCCAGCTTTGTTCTTTTTGCTTAGAATTGCCTTGGCTATTTGGGATCTTTTCTGGTTCATGAGAATTTTAAAATAGTTTCTTCTAGTTCTGTGAAGAATGTCATTGGTAGTTTAATGGGAATAGCATTGAATTCCTTTATAAATTACTTTGGGCAGTATGGACATTTTCAGGAATGAATTCTTCCCTATCCATGAGCATGGAATGCTTCTTCATTTGTTTGTGTCCTATCTGATTTCTCTGAGCAGTGGTTTGTAGTCCTCCTTGAAGAGGTTCTTCACTTCTCTTGCTAACTGTATTCCTATGTATTTTATTCTCTTTGTCACAATTGTGAATGAAGTTCATTCACGATTTCGCTCTCTACTTGCCTGTTGTTTGCATATAGGAATACTAGCAATTTTTGCACATTGATTTTGTATCCTGAGATTCTGTTGATGTGCTTTATCAGCTTAAGAAGCTCTTGGGCTGACATGATGGGGTTTTCTAGATACAGAATCATATCATCTGCAAACAAAGATAATTTGACTTTCTGTCTTCCTATTTAAATACCTTTATTTCTTTATACTGCCTGATTGCCCCGGCCAGAAATTCCAGTACTACGTTGAATAAGAGTGGTGAGAGAGGCGATGCTTTTCTTGTGCCAGTTTTCAAGGGCAATGCTTCCAGCTTTTGGTCATTCAGTATGATATTGGCTGTGGGTTTGTCATATATGGCTCTTATTATTTTGAGGTGTGATCTTTCAATACCTAGTTTATTGAGAGTTTTTAACATGAAGGGATGTTGAATTTTATTGAAGGCCTTTTCTGCATCTATTGAGATAATCGTGTTGTTTTTGTGTTTAGTTCTGTTTATGTGATGAATTACATTTATAGATTTGCCTGTGTTGAACCAACCTTGTATCCCAGGGATGAAGCCATCTTGATTGTGGTGGGTCAAGGTAGCCTTATCAGTCTTAAGTTCAGTCTTTTTACATAATCCCATATTTCTTGAAGGTTTTGTTTTTCTTTCTTTTTTATTCTTCTTTCTCTATTCTTCTCTTCCTGTTTTATATCAGACATATAGTTTTGAAGCTCTGAGATTCTTTCCTCCACTTGGCCTATTCTGTGAGTGATAGTTGTGGTTGCGTTGTGAAGTTCTCATTTTGTGTTTTTCAGCTCTATCATGTGATGTTCCTCTCTAAACTGAATATTCTGGTTATCAACTACTGTGTTCTTTTATATTTTTAACTTCTTGCATTAAGTTAGAACGTGCTCCTTCAGCTCAGAGAAGTTTGTTATTACCCACCTCCTAAAGCCTACTTTTGTCAATTCAGCCATCTCAGCCTTGGTTCAGTTCTGTACCCTTGCTGGGGAGGTGTTGTTGTCATTTAGAGGAGAAGAGGCATTCTGCCTTTTTGAGTTTTCAGCGCTTTTGTGTTGATGCTTTCTCATCTTTGTGGGCTTATCTACCTTTGATCTTTGACGTTGCTGACCTATGAACGGAGCTTTTGTGGGGTCTTTTTGTTGATGTTGTTGTTGCTTTCTGTTTGTTTTTAACAGTCATAACTCTCTTCTCTGGGGCTAGGACTGCTGTGGTTTTTGGAGGTGCACTCTGAACCCTAGCCACGTCAGTCTCTCCTGCACCTGGAGGTATCACAAGTGAAGGCTGCGAAACAGCAAAGATGGCAACCTGATCCTTCCTCTGGGAGCACAAGTCCAGGGGGGTACTGACTTGATGCCAGCTGGAGCGCTCCTGTAAGAGGTGTCTGGAGACCCCTGTTGGGAGGTCTCACCCAGTCAGGAGGAACAGGATCAGGGACTGCTTAAAGAAGCAGTCTGGCTGCCCTTTGGCATAGCAGGTGTGTTGTTCTGACCCCCAGGAGTCTCCAGAGCCAGCAGGCTGAAAAGGTTCAGTTGGCTGAACTGGGGAGACAGCAGCTACCCATCTCCCTGGGGACTTCATCCCAGGGAGAAATCCGAGTTCCATCCACAGAACTCCGGCTGGACTTGCTAAAATTCTGATGGGGAGGCCCTGTCCTGTGAAGAGGGATGGATTTCAGTCTCACTTAAAGAAGCAGCCTGGCCATAACCAGTCACAACAGCTGTACTGTGTTATAGGGGACTCCTACTGGTCCCTGGTTCCATCAGCCTACAGCGGCCAACTCAAACCACAGATAGAGCTGCTGCTCCTCCCCCTGGGAACTCAGTCCACCTCCAGCTATCTCCAGCCTGCTTCCACTGGCCAGCTGGAATTCCAAGCTAATGGGTCTTGTGAGGTGCTGTGGGAGTGGGGCCTCAGAATGATGTCACTTGGCTCCCTGGATTCAGCCCCCTTCCTTGGGGAATGCACAGATGTATCTCCCACTTTGCTGGAATTCTCTGGGCAGAGTATGCAAAATTCCTGGGTTTCCATGCACACCCCAGTAAACCAGGGAGCACTCCGCTGAGACTCAACACAGCTCTGTGCTTCAAACCCAAGGCCGTGGTGGCTGAGCTCATGAGAGGACCTCCTGATCTGCAGGTTGCAAAGATCCATCAGAGAAGCATGGTTTCCCGGGCAGAGTCACACAATCACTCATGGCCTCCCTTGCCTGTGTGTGGGGGCTTGGCTAGCTCCTTGCCACACCTGTGTGGGTCATTGACCCACTGGCTTTTCCTGACTCTCTGTGGGTCGAGCTGTCTGCCTTGTCAGTTCCAATGCAAGAATCTGAATACCTCAATTGAAGGTGAAGAATTCACTCACAGTTTTCATTGCTGTCTGTGAGAGCCATGGGACACAGCTGTTTCTAATCGGCCAGTTTGGCCCCAACTAAAGTATGATTTCTTAATACTTGAGATGTTTTAAATACATAACAATAATGATATTTATCACAAATATATTTTGTCTCAATGTGATATACTAAATGCTAAAAAGTCAATTCTTTTTTGGTTACCACAAAACAATCTGGAAATGTAACGTCTGACATTTATAAAATTTTTGTAGAGTTAATAGAACTTTACTTGAAGGGAGGCTGTCAATATGCATCATGACTTCAAGCACTGCCAGTGAAGTTGTGGAGTTTGAAATGGTACTCACATTTGTTACTGGGATTATAAATTAGTACAAACTATATCAATTGTGATTAAACAATATATACCAAAATTATAAATGGAAATAGTCTCTGATTCAGCAATTTCATTTCCAGAAATTTGCCATACAGACATACTTATGATGCCTGGAATTATGTATGAATGGGAGAAAGTATTATACCACCTTTTTAATTAACAAAAGTCTAGAAATCACCTTAATGTTTATGAATCACATTAATGATTATCATCTTACTGTTTATGAAATTATGGTTATTCATATGATAGACTACTATGCAGCTATTTAAAAAAATAAATTTTAAAGGGATGCTCAAAAATGATGTCCAAGATATGTTACAAAGGAAAAAAACCTGGGTGGAGAGCCACATGTCTGATATGCCTCTATTCCTATAAAATCAGAGTGTATATAAATGCATAGAGTATCTCTATTAACTGGTAACTGTTACAAAATTCAAAGTTAATGCAGGCAAGGCCTTTCTTTTTTAATGCTAAAACTCCAAGGAACTGCACAACATTTGAGGATTTCCAACACATGCCAATCTACCTTTGAACCTACAGATTTTAGGAAATGAAGCTCTTGAAAAATCAATCATTAATATTCCTAGCTACAGTTGTTTGGGACATAATTAGAATGATCCATTCTTTGAAAGTCTGTAAAATTTGCTTATACAACCATCGGGCATAGTCCTTCCTTTGTGAAAGATTTTATTTTACTAGAGATTTTATGTCCTTCAAGTTATAGTACTTCTTAGGTTTTCTATTTCTTCTTGATTCTTGAGTCAATTTTGGTACCACTTAGTACCCCACAGGGTTCTTGTGCTCAGAACACATCAGTCAAAGAAAGAGAGAAGAAAGGAAGGCAGGAAGGAGGGAGGAAGAAAGGAAGGAAGGGGACAAAGAAAGAGAGAAGGAAGGAAAGAATGGGATAAGGAAGGATGGAGGGAAAGATGGGGAGAGAGAGAAAGAAAGAAGGGAGGAGGGAGAGAAAGAGGGAAAGAGAAAGAAGGAAAGAAAACAAGGAAGCAGGGAGGGAGAGAAAGAAGAAAGTAGAGGAAGGAAGGAAGAAAGTAAGGAAAGAGGGAGGGAAGGAAGGGAGAGAGAGAGGAAAGGAGGGAAAGAAAGAGAGAAAGGTGAAAGGTGGGGATGGGAAGACAAGAGGAGCCAGCCACAGGCTACATCCTGTTTGTTCACTCTTTTAGTTGACCCAGGCAGTTCTGCCTTTTAAATATTCCACCTTCTACCATGAGTTACACTGCTCAATATTCATTCCTCAGAGCATTCAAAAGTCTATGTGTGCCCTGCCATGATGGAGCATGGCTTCAGCTCCCAAACACAACTCTCAGCCAAAATATTCATGACTGGTCCCTCCCATATACTCACCAATACCCCATGTATGGTCTTCATGTGTCCCCCAGAGCTCAAGTGTTGGAAACTTAATCCTCTATGTGACAGTGTTGAGATGTGGGCCTAATAAGAGTGATTGGGTTATGAGATTCTGCCCCAATGCATGGATTAATGTTAGTATCTCAGGAAGAGGTTAGTTATCTGGGGGGTGGGTTAGTTATCTTGGGAGTGCGCTTGTATTAAAAGCAAGTTCAGCCCCTTTTGCTCTCTTTCTTTCTCAAAGTCTTGCTTTGCTGCCTTCAGCCATGAGATGACACAGCAAGAAGGCCTTCACCAGATGCAGACGCCCTCATCCTTGGACTTCCTCACCTCCAGAACACTAAGAAATAAATTTCTTTTCTTTATAGATTCCCTAGTCTATGGTATTTTGTTATAGTAGTACAAAATGGGTTAAGAAGTCCCATTAAGTGGAGAGTGCTGATCCACAGGGTTGAGATCATTGACTTAGGGCTTGGAGTCTTATACAACATCCCTATGGGAGTTGGCCTCCATATTCCCTAACTTCCACGAATCTCAAATGGTGATCTCAGACCAAAATATAGCCCAGATATTTTGCATTTGGCAATATTGCCCACTTTTCTACAACTTTATCATGGCAGCTTTGATGTGTTCACTTCTACAATCCCTGAAAGGATATGAGTTCAAGATCCTGCAAGGTTACAATCCAAGGATAGAAGAGCCTAGACAAGATTCCCATCAACTGGGTGATCAGTGCAGAGATACGTCACAAATCCTCAGTAGGCAAAGCCTAGACAAGAGTTACATCACCAGGGGGTTCAATGCAGAGATATGTTACAAAGCCCCCATAGGCAGAGCCTAGACAAGAGTTACATCACCTGGGTGACAGGCAAACAACAATGAAAACTTATTTTCATCCCCACTTCAGTCTTTGAGGTTAGACAGACCAGGATTCAAATCCAAGCTCCATCTCTGGCTGTGCGAGCTTGCTCAAGCTGCTAACCTCTCTGAGATTTGACTCTTCATTTGTGAAATGAGGATAAAGACCCTTCTCTCAGGGGCTGTGCCAAGGATGAAATGAGTCATGCATTGGTCAGGACAGGTGATTCTGTGTAACAAACAAGCCCCCAAACCTCAGTGGCTTCAAGAGCAAAGTTAACTTCTTTTCTTTTCTTTTTTTGCAGGGGTTGGGGTGCGGTGGATGGAGTCTTGCTCTTTCTCCCAGGCTGGAGTGCAGTGGTGCAATCTCAGCTCACTGTAACCTCCACCTCCTGAGTTCAAGAGATTCTCCTGTTTCAGCTTCCTGAGTAACTGGGACTACAGGCAACTACCACCACGCCCGACTAATTTTTTATATTTTTAGTAGAGATGGGGTTTCACCGTGTTAGTCAGGATGGTCTTGATTACCTGACCTCATGATCTGCCCACCTCAGCCTCCCAAAGTGCTGGGATTACAGGCGTGAGCCACCACACCCAGCCTTGACTTCTGAATTGATTTCACATCCATCACGGGTGAACAAGGGTCTCTGGTGGTCGTAGTCATTCAGAGCCTCAAACAGATAGACCCTTATCCCAGAAGATGCTCCCACAGTTCCAGAAACAGAGCAAATAAAACGTAATCAGCCATGAGCCACTTCTTAAATCCCCTGCCCGGAAGGGATGCACATTTCTTCTGTCACAGCTGTTGCCCAAAATGTCTCAGGCTGCCGCGCACAGTGGCTCACATCTGTAATCTCAGCATTTTGGGAGGCAGAGGCAGGCAGATCACCTGAGGTCAGGAGTTCCAGACCAGTCTGACCAACATGGAGAAACCCTATCTCTACTCATAATATGAAAATTTGCCGGTCGTGGTGGCGGGTGCCTGTTAGCCCCAGCTAGTCTGGAAGCTGAGGCAGGAGAATCACTTGGATCCAGGAGGTGGAGATTGCAATGAGTTGAGAACAGGCCACTGCATCCCAGTCTGAGTGAAAGAGTGAGACTTCATCTCAAAAAAAAAAGTCTCAGGCTATGTCTGAACTAGGAGGGTAGAAAGATTAGTCATTTTGGTTACCACAAACCATCAAAACAAAGGTGCAGATCATTGATGTAAAATTACAGTTAGTTCCTTCCGACTCCTTTTCAGCTTCTCTTCATTGCTATGAGCCAGCATCTCCAGTGTCAGTTTTCAGTCTGTTGCCTCCAAGCTCCTAGTGTACCTTTCAATATGTGCACTGTGATAAACTGGGAAACACTGTTCAATATACCTTCTGGAAGTAAACATTCTGCAGGCATCTAGGTAGAGGATGGAGAGACTCCAGGAGACAGGAGCTCTCTGGCTGGGCCTTGATCATGTTCAATCCCCAACCTCAGACCTAGGCGTGGTCCCTCAGCCACCTTATAGCCTTGGCTTGCAACATCTCTACATGGAAACCAAAACGCAGCAGGGCCCATGTGATCTGAAGGTTCCTGAAAAGTTTCCCAGAACCCCTCTTGTACCCCTTGTGCAACCCGCACACGGTGACTTGTATTCTAGAGGGTCCGCACAGAGCGGCCATTCCTTCTGCCAGAACCTGCACTCACGCATTCTGGAGGCTTCCTGCACTACAAAGGCAGCCAGACACCCACCATGCATCCCTGCACCAGTGGCCCACGGCTAGCTCCCTCATCTGCACTCCAGCGGCTCATGGCCAGCTCCCTCACCTGCACCAGTGGCTCTTGGCCGGCTCCCTCCCCTGCACACCAGCGGCTCACGGCCGGCTCCCTCCCCTGCACACCAGTGGCTCATGGCTCACTCCCTCCCTTGCAAACCAGCAGCTCACGGCCTGCTCCCTCCCCTGCATTCCAGCAGCTCATGACCAGCTCCCTCACCTGCACTCCAGTGGGTGGCCCAGTGCTTGTGCAAAAGCTGCTGACTAGCTCCAGCCTGCCCAAATCCACAAACGTCTCTTATGTGGTGGTTGAACCACATTTTATGACATCTGAACACCTTTCAAATCTGTGCTTCCTTGGGTACCTCTCTTTCCAATAGGGCACCAGGCAGAGTTGCTTTATGTCTTACAGTGACTCTTTTATCATAGTTGCAATCCTTTATACTACACTTCCCCGTTAGACCCACTATGTGGTTTCTATCTCTTGATGGGACCCAGGCTGCTACACAACCTAACCCATGAACATTGCACTTCATTAATTCCTCACCATTGGCCCAAGATCATGCTCCATCACCTGTCTCTGCCTTCTGACTTTCTTTCCTTAAGTGAAACCCCTAAACGTCCTCTTTGTGCCCAAAGCTTACCTGCTCTTCCTTCCCTATATTCTTGGCCAGACACAAAAATCTGATGCTCTGGCAAATGCAGAAATGGGGAGAAGGCAGGGGAATCATTTCTCCTCCCTTAGGTAAGCACTGAGGGTTATGTCATTCCATTGTGTGAGGAATAAAAAAATGAGGCATAGAGAGCTGCCATGATTTGCCTGGACCAATGAAGCTTTCATGGCAGAGGTGGAACAAATGTTTAGGTGTCCTGAATGTCAGTCCAGCTCATATGTCTTCAGAACGTGCTGTGGAGGGAGACACCGGGGGATCCCACTCATGCTGAGCACTCAGGGGTACCCAGGTGCTGAGAGTGGGGACGTGACAGGCTGAGTTGACTCAGTCCAGTCCTCCTACACCAAATAATGATGGAAACCCTCACATAATAGAAGTGAAGAGAGGGAACGAAGCCAGGAACTATTAAGAGGCTGATGCCTAGGAGGCCTGGGCAGAATGACAGGGAGATTAGAGCAGAACAGAGGCCGTAGATGGGGACAAGGGGAAGGAAGTGGCCTCAGTGGCCAGATGGCACCTGTCCACTGCACAGAGGCTGGAGCCTTGAGTTCCATCTAGTCCTTGTCAACTACAATCATTCTGCCCTATGGCTCAATGAGTCCTGGAGAAAATGTGTTTTCTGCAGGCTGCGGAGGTGAGAATAAAACAATTCAGCCGTAAGAAGTTGAAAGTCCCGGAAATCATAGCAGGTGGAGATGGGATTCCTACTTAAACTTCCTGCCCTTGACTTCTGGTTTGGCCATGTGTCTCACTTTGGCCAATGAATGTGGTAAACTGCCCATTCTGAGCCTGGGTGGTAGGATAAGAGACCTTCACATTTCCCTTTGTTCTTTGTACTCCTGCCATTGCCATGAGAAGAAGGCACCCTGGCAGGCCCCAACCCGAGGAGGATCAGAGACACTTGGAGCATATCCAGCTCAGCCACCACAGTTTGAGCTTAAACCTCCCAAGCAACTCATGCCCATGAGTGAGAAATGGTGGCCTATGGTAGTAGGCCTCTGAGGTGTGGGGTTACTAGTTACAAAGCAAGAGTTAACTAACAGAGATTTCTACCTCACATCCCTATGAATCAAAGGACAAAGGAAATGAAACAAAATGTGAAAAGCAGATTTCCAATTTTTAGAAGAAAACAGAGGACAGATTTTATGACACTAAGCAGAGAAAAACTTTTTTTAATATGACACAAAACACAGACACCATAAAAGAAACTACTGACAAAAAAGGCGATGAATAAAGTTAAAAGACAAAGACAGTGCATGATAAGGTTTGGCTGCATGTCCCCACCCAAATCTCATCTTGAATTGTCCTCCCATAATTCTCCTGTGTTGTGGGTGGGACCTGGTGGGAGACAATTGGAATCATGGGGGCAGTTCCCCCATACTGTTCTCCTGGTAGTGAATAAGTCTCACGAGTTCTGACGGTTTTATCAGGGGATTCCACTTTTGCATCGTCCTCATTTTTCTCTGGCCACTGCCATGAAAGAAGTATCTTTCAACTCCCACCATGTTTCTGAGGCCTCTTCAGTCACGTGGAACTGTAAGTCCAATTAAACCTCTTTTTCTTCCCAGTCTGGGATATGTCTTTATCGGCAGTGTGAAAATGGACTAATAGAGTGCACCAGTAGGGAAAACATATTTGTAAGGTATTTGGCCAAAAAAGCCTTGATATCCAGATCATTAAAATCAAAATTGGCCAGACGTGGTGGCTCATGCCTGTAATCCCAGCACTTTGGGAAGATGAGATGGGTGGATCACCTGAGGTCGGGAGTTCGAGACCAGTCTGACCAACATGGAGAAACCCCGTCTCTACTAAAAATACAAAATTAGCTGGGAGTGATGGCACTTACTCATAATCCCAGCTACTCAGGAGGCTGAGGCAGGAGAATCACTTGAACCCAGGAGGTAGAAGTTGCAGTGAGCCATGATCATGCCATTGAACTCCCACCTAGGCAATAAGTGCAAAACTCCATCTAAAAAAAAATATATCACTTACAAGTCAGCAAGGAGAAACCAAAGACCCAACAGACATATGGGACAGGAGCAATTCACAGAGGAGGAGACCCGAAGGGCTGGGAAACACAAGGCACGCATTCAGCTGCCCAGCAGAATCCAGGAACAATATCAGAAAGTGCGATAAAAAATATTGATGAAGATGAGTGAAGACAGATGAGCGCACTGCTGGCGAGGGGCATAGTGAGGTCTCCAGCCCCAAGGTCATCTGGCTGTGCTTCCTAGGAAGGAAGTGCTGACAACAAACCTGTCCCAAGACCCCAAGCTTCACCAGGCTATGTGCAGGCCTTGGACCAGAACATCAGCATCACCTTGGGGTGGGGGTTGCAGGGGGGGTCGCCCATCCTCTGGTCACCAGAAATGCAGAATTCTAGATTCATCTGGAAGATATTGTTGAAGGGAAAAGCAACTTTCAGGAGAGTAAGTATGGACAGCTATTTGTATAAAATTGCAAAACCAGGCCAAAGAACACTATCCATTCTTCATGGACATGCACACTAGGTATTAAACATGGATGGGAAGACACACATTGACTTCACAATAGTGGGGAGGGAGGCGGTAACTGGACTAGAAAAGGGACATATAATTCGAGCGTCAGGATGAACACTATGGCTGAATCCATAGTTTTCTTCCCTTAAACTCTGGAGAAAAGTCATCCAAAAGCTACCACGTTTGAATTTTAACTGGGAGGTACATGAAATTTTGATATCATTATCCTCTACATAGTCCTGTGTGTTTGTAATATTGAGGCATATTTTTTAAACACTTGACACAGCATGAAAGGAAGCTTGCCTACACGGTAACAATGGTTATCTTTAGGTAGCAGAATTCAAGACTGCTTCTTTTTCTTTATTTTTCCTACTTGTATATTATCTCTATTTCCCTGTGTGAGGATTTATGACTGTTGTGATGAAAAGGCTAGTATTCTAACTCCCTGCATCATAAGCACACACCGTGCCCTGGCTGGCATGATGGGGAGGAGAGAGCGTGTCTGTTCACCTGGCCAGCCCTAGGCAACTCTGCAGAGAAAGATACAGGCACTTCCCCTCTGCAGCCAAAGAGTTAAGAAGCCTTGATGTGAAACAAATCATTCCAGGGGAGATAAATCCCGGCCTTATCTAATTCTGTATCCTGAGGCTGATTAATTTAAACTCAAAAATAAAATAAACATCATCCTTAAATAGGGATTAAATACTCAGCGGAGTCCTTAATTAAACAAACTGACATACATTTTATGGTATGGATTCAGGGGGCCCGGGGTGGGATGAGGGATATCTGTGGGGATGCTTGCTGAGCTAAGGAGAGAAAATCGCCAGTGCTCCTGGATTCCGGAGTGCATTCACCTTTAGCTCCTTGTCTGGATACCCGCAGAAAACCAAAGAGCCATCCTGTGGCAGGATCTTCATACAGGAGGTGGGCTTGTGCCCGTGTCCCTGCGGGAGAAGGGATTAGTGGAGGGAGTGGGTGAAGAGTTTGGAGAAAGCCCCTGATGTTCTTAGAAAACAGTAGGAAAGAGATTCCCTTGCCTGGGCATTGTTCCCAAATAGGAGACAAGAGCATGAACTAAAAACAGAGACTCTCAGCTCCCTCCATGGTCCCTGAGCTCAGAAGGGAACCCAGGGAAGTGGGGCAAGTAAAAAATTGAGTGGGCTATCTAACATGTGCCTGGAGGGACCCACGAACCTGAGTCAGGCATGAGAGTGGGCAGCTGGTGGATTCTTCCAGACCTGCAGCACAAAGTCAGGCAGACGTCCCAAGAGCAAGCCACTTCTGCAGAGGCCTCTACTGCATCCCTGCCTCATGGGCACAATGTCACAGAACAGAATTACATCATGTGGGAGACCATATGCAGTGTAAGTGTCATAATGGAGCTGGACCCAGAAGATCCCAGACCCAGGTACAGCTATGTCTCTGCTATAGTCAATGTTTGTATGCCCCTAAAATCTGTGTGTTGAAACCTAACTCCTGATAGGTTAGGATTGAATTAGAAGACAAAGACTTTAGGAAGTGATTTCATCACGAAAGCAAAGACCCCATGAATGGGATAAGTGGCCTTGTAAAAGGGAGCCAAGGGAGCTTGTTCTCCTTCCACCATGTGAGGACCCATCTAGGAGGTGCCCTCTATAAAGAGCAGGCCCTCAACAGACACCCAATCTGCCACTACCTTGACCTCCCATTTGCCAGCATCCAGACCTATGAGGTATAAGTTTCTGTTGCTTATAAGCCCCCTAGGCTAAAGTATTTTGTTACAGCAGCCCAAATGGAATAAGAGCCTCTGACCATCTTGAGCAACTCACTTATCTGCTGAACTCTCCACAGATTTAACTGTGATGAAATCCCTCAACAGATGTATATTGAACACCTACTGAGTATAAGAACACACTGTGTTGTTGGATAGGATTTAAAGCAAGTCACAGTTCCCCAGGGGAAGGCACTGCCATAGCTGAAGAGCAAACCCAAGTTGCTGTGGCAAATGGGGGAAAGGGTGGGTGTCAGAGAAGAAGAGAACATGCTAGAGTCCATGTCTGCAGCAATACTGGAACGTCCAATAGATGTTTCCCAAAGTGGTGACTTCTCATCCTACAAAAACTCATAGTTGTCCCTGTGTAAAGTCTTCCCAGAAGTGCAGGGCAGCAGAGAATATGCAGATCAGAAAAGAGAAGAGGACAGAGAGCACATTCTTGGCATCAGCAGCCACTGACTTCTTGAAGGAAGAAAAGCATTTCTCCTGGATCCCTGGGTAGCAGATAAACATACAGAAATAGATTTGTTGGCTATTTGATTCATGGACTCTGAACATTTGCAGACCGGGAGGCTGAGAATCTTCTCCAACCAGATGATGTGGGGCATGGAAGTACAGAAAGGGATCAAAGTAGGAGGAAAACAGAGTAATGAGAAGGGAGCTCTCAGCATGACCAACACAGAGACGTGGGTCTCTGCTACCAACGATAAGAGCTAATGTATAATGATTGCAGGTTTGCAAATAGCAGGCTTTCCATATCACATATGGCAAGCTCTGATGACAAGCCTGTGTGACAGGTATTGTTGTCAGAGGCAGAAAGTTGCTACGTAATCACACGCAACTGGTGGAATGCCAGAGAGTTTGGTTTTAATTGGTCTTCTTTCTGTTTGTTTTCTATTTGTCCCATCTGTATTTCGTTCTCCTTTTCCTCTTTCTCTGACTTCTTTTGAATTTGTTGAGTATTTTTATTTCATTTAATCTTCTTTGTTGGTCTTTTACATATAACTATTTTTGCTTGGTTTGGTTTTGAGTTTTAATCATTGCTCTATGGTTTGTGGTATATCACATGGTTTGGATCTGTGTCCCTACCCAAATCTCATGTGGAAATGTAATCCTCAATGCCAAACGTGGGGCCTGGAGGGAGGTGATTGGAGCATAGAGCCAGTTTCTCATGGTTTAACACCATCCCCGCTTGGTACTATATAGCGAGTGTGTTCTCACAAGATCTGGTTGTTTAACAGTGTGTGGCACCTCTCCCTCACTCTCTTCCTCCTGCTCCAGTCACATAAGATATGCCTGCTTCCCTTTTGCCTTCCGTCATGATTGTAAGCTCCCTGAAGGCCTCCCAAGAAGCTGAGCAGATGACAGAATCATGCTTCCTGTACAGCCTGCAGAACTGTGAGCCAATTAAAGCTCTTTTCTTCATAAATTACCCAGTCTCATTTTCTTTTTTTGAGACATAGTCTCATCCTGTCGCCCAGGCTGCAGTGCAGTGGTGTGATCTCGGCTCACTGCAACTTCCGCCTCCCTGGTTCAAGTGATTCTGCTGTCTCAGCCTCCTGAGTAGCTAAGCTGGGAATACAGGCATATGCCACAAAGCCCACCTAATTTTTTTTGTATTTTTAGTAGAGACAGGGTTTCACCTTGTTGGCCAGGATGATCTCAATCTCTTGAACTCGTAATCCACCCATCTCAGCCTCCCAAAGTGCTGGGATTACAGGCGTGAGCCACCATGCCCAGCCCCAGTCTCAGATATTTCCTTTTTTTTTAATTTATTTATTATTATTTTTTAAATTATTATTATTTTGCCTTAAGTTTTAGGGTACATGTGCACAACGTTCAGGTTTGTTATATATGTATACATGTGTCATGCTGGTGTGCTGCACCCATTAACTCGTCATTTAACATTAGGTATATTCTTAATGCTATCCCTCCCCCCTCCCTCCACCCCACAACAATCCCTGGTGTGTGATGTTCCCCTTCCTGTATCCATGTCTTCTCATTGTTCAATTCCCACCTATGAATGAGAACATGTGGTGTTTTGTTTTTTGTCCTTCAATAGTTTGCTGAGAATGATGGTTTCCAGTTTCATCCATGTCTCTACAAAGGACATGAACTCATCATTTTTTATGGCTGCATAGTATTCCATGGTGTATATGTGCCACATTTTCTTAATCTCATCTATCATTGTTGGACATCTTTGTTGGTTCCAAGTCTTTGCTATCGTGAATAGTGCAGCAATAAACATATGTGTGCATGTGTCTTTATAGCAGCATTATTTATAATTGTTTGGGTATATACCCAGTAATGGGATGGCTGGGTCAAATGGTATTTCTAGTTCTAGATCCCTGAGGGATTGTCACACCGACTTCCACAGTGGTTGAACTAGATTACAGTCCCACCAACAATCTAAAAGTGTTCCTGTTTCCCCACATCCTCTCCAGCACCTGTTTTTTCCTCACTTTTTAATGATCACCATTCTAACTGGTGTGAGATGGTATCTCATTGTGGTTTTGATTTGGATTCCTCTGATGGCCAGTGATGATATTGTGGTTTTGATTTGCATTTCTCTGATGGCCAGTGATTAGGACCATTTTCTCATGTGTTTTTTGGCTGCATAAATGTCTTCTTTTGAGAAGTGTCAGACATTTCTTTAGAGCAGTGCAAGAACAGAATAATACAGTATATGTATTTAACTTAGCCTTGGCTGCTATCAACATTATGCCACTTCACAGAAGCAGGATCTGAGGCTCAAGTTATCATCCTGCCTTGGCCTTCCAAAGTGCTGGGATAACAGGCATGTGCCACCATGCCTGGCCTTGCATTGTTTCTAACCAGATGTCTGCCACCTTTTTTTTTTTTTTTTTTTTGAGACAGAGTCTCACTCTGTTGCCCAGGCTGGAGTGCAATGGAGCCATCTCAGCTCACTACAACTTCCACCTCCCAGGTTCAAGTGATTCTTCCTGCCTAGCCTCCTGAGTAGCTGGGGTTACAGATACGTGCCACCAAGCCCTGCTAATTTTTGTATTTTTAGTAGAGATGGGGTTTTGCCATGTTGCCCAGGCTGGTCTTGAACTCCTGGGCTCAAGTGATCCTCCTGCCTCAGCATCCCAAAGTGCTGGGATTACAGGTGTGAGCCGCCACGCTTAGCCTATTTTCATCTCGGTTTCTTTCTGTATAATGTCCTTTTCCCTTTGGTAACATTTCCGATTTTCTCTTTGTCACTGGTTTGGGGCAATTTGATTATGATGTGCTTCAGTGTGTCATCCTCATGTCTCTTGTGATAGGGGTTCATTGGTTCTTAGATCTCTGGGTTTACAGTTTTTCTCAAATTTAAATTTTTTCAGCCACAGTTTTTTCAAATATTTTTTCTTCTACTCCTCCCCACCTTCTTCAGGAACTCCAATTACACATATATTAGTCCTGTTGGTGCTGATTTTCTGTTAAATTTTTTCCATTATTTTCTCCATGTTCCATTTTCGATAGTTTCTACTGCTACAACTTCCAGTTGACTAATCCTTTTTTGTACAATATCTATTCTATTTTAAACACCATTTAGTATATTTTTCATCTCAGACATTTTATTTTTCATCTCTAGAAGTTCCAGCTGGGTATTCCATGTCTCCACTTCCATGTTCTACCTTACCTTTACCTTCTTCTTGTGGAATGTTATCATTACAATAACTGTTTTAATATCATTGCCTACTAATTCCATCTTATTTGCCATTTCTGTATCTATTGATCAAGTTTTCTTCTCATTATTGAGACATTTCCTTTTTCTTCACATACCTGGTAATTTTCAGCCAGATGGCAGACAACATGAAATTTATCTTATTGTGTGTTGGATATTGTTGGGTTCCTATAAATATTATTGAGCTATGTTCTAAGATGCAGTTAAATTATCTGGAAAGATTTTGGTTCTTTGAGGGTTTTCTTTGAGGTCTTGTTAAGTAGGACCTTAGCAGCCTCGGCCTAGATCTAATCTTCCACACTACTGAGGCAATTCTTTTCTGAGTGTTCCATCCAATGGTCTGGGAAGTATAAGGTTTGTCCACTGATGCTGGTCGGAACACCAAATATGCCTGGTTCTGTGGGAGGTTCAAGCATTCTTCTTTCTGTTTCCTTCAGGTATTTTCCCTCCCCAGACTTGTAGTTTTCACACATATATGTGCTAATCAGTATTTAGCTGAAGACTCTGGAGGTTTTTGTTTTGTGACTTTGTCCTTTTCATGCCCTGAATACTCTGCCCTGCAGAGTTTATCTGAGCTTCTTTAGTCTCCCTGGACTCCCAGCTTCATCTCCTCAATTCAGGACCATCACCAGGCTCAGTCTGGGTTGGCCCTCCTTGAGCTGTGGCCTAGAAATGGTTTGACTTCTGGTCACCGCACCTGGGCAGTCCAGAGTCACAAGAAACCCTAGGCCATGTGGCAGAATGCCCACTGTCCCCACTTCACCACACTGTACTCTCTCCATCCAGTGCTAGCTTTAGCCACGCTGTCTCACAGTCCAGAATGCTAGCCAGAGATCAAGCTTTCTGCAGTGCCTTGGCTGGGGCCCACAGATAAGGATGGCCAAGCAGTGCTCCCAGAAGCCAGCAGATGACATCAATGAGTTTTACATCCTCCAGGCACTGAGAATCTCTGAACACCAGAAGTGTCCTCTGTTGCCAGAGCTGAACTCTCAAATGAAGACTCCAGAAGGCCCTGAAATGTGTGCAGCCTCCCATCATTGCCTGTCTGTGGCCAAAAGGACACAGACTCTTTCCATGGCTGGTGAGATATCTAGCACACTGGGGGCACTGGAAAGCCCCTTTTCAACTTTAGGCCTTAGCTGTGCTCTCCATTGACCTCAGGCCAGACACTGCACATTATGGGGGACACCGCTGGGTGCTGGGATGAGAATGGCAGTTGGCATGTGAGCTAGGATTGAGAGCCCACCACTCTCTTCCCCAGCCAGGCGGTGGGCAGTTACCATCTCTGGCTTCTGTGACCTTACCAGCCTCCTCTGCTACAATTGCATTTCTGGCAGGCAGTGGATCAGAGAAGCACTGGCAGTTGAGGACGATGTGGAGAACCACTACTGGCCAAGCATTCCCAACCTGACAGCAGAACAGAAGTACAGCAGTGCTGAGGTGAACTTGACGGAGAACTTTGAGACCATGAAGGCAACCATCACTTCCAACTCATCACAACCTGCATCTCCCACAGATTTATTATAGAAGAACTCAACCATCTCTGTGTCAACAAGAAATGGTCCTCACTCTACACCATCACCCTTGGATTTCGATCATGGGGCTGTTCTGTCTTTAGTATGGAACTGAAAACTTTAATTTCCACAAAAATGTAAGGTTTTGGGCTACAGCCTTACTAAAACAAACAAATATGAGCATAATGGTCTACAGATGGAATATCTGGGGCTCTAGACAAACTGCTACTTGAAAGTATAATCACTCTCTTTTTGTTTGTTTCTTTACCCTGGTAGGACAATGTCAGAAATTTCCTTGGTCATACAGAATATAAAACATAGTTTCAACAAAAGCAGAATTAAAGCTACAAACTATTTTTGGTGTATTTGCTTAAGTATAAGATAGCTGATTGGGGCTTTATCTCATAACGTTAGTTTGCTTAGTTTTCATTAAGTTTGTTAAACTTAAATTGTGAATAAATATATGGCTGATTCATATTGTAATTAACCTGCACATTGACATAAGCTGTACATTAAAAGTTGCTGCAGGCTGTCATCCAAAATAAAACTTATGTAAAACCAAAAATTCTATAAACCAATGTCAAGGAATGTAACCTAAAATAAAAATACAGTTAACATGGAATTGCAAAACTAGAATGGGTGAAATATTTACCCATACAATCTTGTTTGGAACATTGATATAACACTAGAAAAGAATTTTTCTAAATAACTACAATGTTCAACTCTGACTGTGCATCTGTGAAGACCAGGCATTTTGAATCATTGCTCTGTGGTGTGTGGCAGTACAATTTTACAGAAATGCACTACAATAATTAATAAAATTCTCTAATGGGAAGATTTTAATGAATAAGTATTTACACTATAAATATTTATAATATTGGTGCTATTATTTCACAAAATAAAAAAGCTGTGTTACAGCCTTTAAAAGCAAATAATAGCCTTGCATTTCTAAATAAAGAAAAAATATAAATTTTATGAAATACGGTTAAGAGTAATTGAAAAAATAAAAATTGGGGCATAAATTATATTATAGTTTGGATAGAGGTTGAAAAAAGTGGACGAAAATTTTAATGAGCCCTTTTTGCCTGCACTAAACTTAATCTTATAGGTAAATATTATAATACATATAGGGTACCTACTAGCTGTCTAATTTACTTTTTACACAATGTATAAATCCTAGCCTATTGGTCTTAATATTTGAACCTAAAATAACACACAAACATACAAGAGAACAAAACAAGGAAGAAGTGTATGGAGACAGTGTCATTATCAAGGTGGTGGAATAGGGGGTCCCTACTTTTGTATTCCCCTGCAGCAATAAAAACTAGTCATCCATCCATCAACCAAAGTAACTTTATGAAAGATCCAGGCAAAGTGGCTCATGATAGTAATCTCCTCCATTCAGGAGCCTGAGGCGGGAGGACTGCCAGCCCAGGAGTTCAAGAACAGCCTGGGCAATATAGGGAGCTTTGGGATACAGGGCATTATGAAACCTTGCTAAAACCCAAAATCGAGGAGAGTCATTTTGAGAAGGCAGGGCCTTTGGTTAACAAGGTGTCATATTATCCAAAGCAATCTCTCAGTTAACTCAAATCCCTATCAAAATCCCTGTCCCACTTTTTATGGTAATAGAAAATGTAAGTCTGCAACGTAGGCCGAATGGCCAAACCAATCATGCGGAATAAGAAAAAAGCTGGGGACATCATACTCGTGACTCACAGGAAACAGTTCAAAAGTCACTGTTTGTAGATAACCTGGGGAAAACCTGCTAGGTACTCAGTGGGAGCCACACTCACCCACACATCTGTCATTAGGCCCAACATATAGCAGAACCTGCCCTAGTACCTGTCCCACAAAACAAAGCCCTGAGGACAATCCAGCCTGCCCCAAAACATGACAGAACTCACAACCACACGTGCTCCTGGTAACAAGCCCACTAAAGGTAAAACCCACTTCAGATTCGGCAGCCACCTTGTGATGCAGCTACAAGCCTTTTTACTGCAAACCCAGTAAAGATCTCATCAGCCTTGAGACCCAACAGATGAAGATCTTTACCTACTAAAATGAGTTTATAAAAATGAACAGAGGTGGCTGGGCACGATGGCTCACACCTGTAATCCCAGCACTTTGGGGGCCGAGGTGGGTGGATCAGGAGATCAGCAGTTCAAGACCAGCCTGGCCAAGATGGTGAAACACTCTCTTTACTAAAAATACAAAAATTAGCCGGACATGGTGGTTGGCACCTGTAATCCCAGCTACTCGGCATGCTGAGGGAGAGACTTGCTTGAATCTAGGAGGTGGAGGTTGCAGTGAGCCAAGATTGTGCCACAGCACTCCAGCCTGGGTGACAGAGCGAGACTCCATCTCAAAAACAAAACAACAACAACAACAAAAAATGAAACGAGCTGTTTGCTCCTCCAAATGCGCAAACACCAATGCAAGTCTATATTATGCCCATTCTAACGGTTCTATTTTAACATAGAACTGGAAGTCCTACATAGAATAATTAAGTCATACATCAAATAATTAAGCAAGAAAAACTAAAAGATTCAAATTGAAAAGAAGAAATAACGTCAGTTTGTAGATGACATAATGTTACATATAAAAAACATAAATAGTACATTTAAATAATACATTTAATGCATCTATATATAAATAGTGCATCTAATAAATGCACTCAGTAAAGAAGTAGAATATACAATTAGCATACAGATATCAGTTTTGTTTCCATATGCTAGCAAAAAACCAGTAAAAAAGAAAAAACAATCTCATTTACAATAGCAATGAAATAATAGATTTCTTAGCAATAAATTGAACCAATGTGGTGAAAGATCTTTACGATAAAAAATAAAATATATTGATGAAAAAAATTAAAGAAGATACAAATAAATGTAAATATATTACATGTTTATGGATTAGAAGAATATTGTCTAAGTGCCATATTATCCAAAGCAATCTGTAGATTAATTTGACTTCCTATCAAAATTCCTGTGTTACTTTTTACAGTAATAGAAAATAAAGTCTGCAATGTATAGAAAACTATAAGAAATATTGAATGGCCAAAGCAATCATGAGGAATAAAACGAAATCTGGGGACATTATACTTTATTATTTAAAACTACATTTCAAGACTACAGTAAACATAATAGAATAGAATGTTTATAGGAACCAACACAAAAACCAATGGAACAGAATACAGAGCCCAGAAGTAAATCTATGCATCTAGAGTTAATCTTTGACAAGGGCACTATGAATACGCAATACAAAAAGTGTAGCCTTTTCAATAGTTAGTGATGGGAAAACTGGATACTCACAAGCACAATAATAAAACTTGATCATATTTCTTACATAAGACACAAAAATTGATGTAAAATAAAGACTTAAATTTAATACATAAATCCTTAAAAGAAAATCTTTAAAAAAGCATATGAAAAGCCTTCATGATACTGGCCTTGGCAGTGTTTTTTAAATATGATATCCAAAGTATAGCAATAAAACCAGACACAAAGATGTAGTGTATTAAACTATTGTGCACAGCAAAAAATAAGAAAACATTTAAGATGGGAAAACACTTGCAAACCATATATGATAAGAGGTTAGTATTCAAAATATAGCAGAAACTCATAAAAATCAGAAGCTAAACAATAATAATTATAATACCCAACTAAAAAGTAGGCAAAAGACTAAACTTTTCTTATTATTATTATACTTTAACTTTTAGGGTACATGTGCACAACGTGCAGGTTTCTTACATATGTATACATGTGCCATGTTGGTTTGCTGCACCCATTAACTCGTCATTTAGCATTAGGTATATCTCTTAATGCTATCCTTCCCCCCTCCCCCACCCCACAACAGGCACCGGTGTGTGATGTTCCCTTTCCTGCGTCCATGTGTTCTCATTGTTCAATTTCCACCTGTGAGTGAGAACATGCGGTGTTTGGTTTTTGGTCCTTGCAATAGTTTGCTGAGAATGATGGTTTCCAGCTTCATCCATGTCCCTACAAAGGACATGAACTCATCCTTTTTTACAGCTGCATAGTATTCCATGGTGCATATGTGCCACATTGCCTTAATCCAGTCTATCATTGTTGGACATTTGTGTTGGTTCCAAGTCTTTGCTACTGTGAATAGTGCCACAATAAACATACGTGTGCATGTGTCTTTATAACAGCATGATTTATAGTCCTATGGGTATATACCCAGTAATGGGATGGCTGGGTCAAATGGTATTTCTAGTTCTAGCTGCCTGAGGGATTGCCACACTGACTTCCACAATAGTTGAACTAGTTTACAGTCCCACCAACAGTGTAAAAGTGTTCCTATTTCTCCACATCCTCTCCAGCACCTGTAGTTTCCTGACTTTTTAATGATCACCATTCTAACTGGTGTGATATGATATCTCATTGTGGTTTTGATTTGCATTTCTCTGATGACCAGTGATGGTGAGTATGTTTTTCATGTGATTTTTGGCTGCATAAATGTCTTCTTTTGAGAAGTGTCTGTTCATATACTTCACCCACTTGTTGATGGGGTTGTTTGTTGTCTTCTTGTTAATTTGTTTGAGCTCATTGTAGATTCTGGATATTAGCCCTTGGTCATATGAGTAGATTGGAAAAATTTTCTCCCATTCTGTATATTGCCTGTTCACTCTGATGGTGGTTTCTTCTGTGCAGAAGCTCTTTAGTTTAATTAGATCCCATTTGTCAGTTTTGGCTTTTGTTGCCACTGCTTTTGGTGTTTTAGACATGAAGTCCTTGCCCATGCCTATGTCCTGAATGGTAATGCCTAGGTTTTCTTCTAAGGTTTTAATGCCTTTAGGTCTAACGTTTAAGTCTTTAATCCATCTTGAATCGATTTTAGTATTAGGTGTAAGGAAGGGATCCAGTTTCAGCTTTCTACATATGGCTAGCCAGTTTTCCCAGCACCATTTATTAAACAGGGAATCCTTTCCCCATTGCTTGTTTTTCTCAGGTTTGTCAAAGATCAGATATTTGTATATATGTGGCATTATTTCTGAGGGCTCTGTTCGATTCCATTGGTCTATATCTCTGTTTTGGTACAAGTATGATGTTGTTTTGGTTACTGTAGCCTTGTAGTATAGTTTGAAGTCAGGTAGCGTTATGCCTCCAGCTTTGTTCTTTTGGCTTAGGATTGACTTGGCATTGCAGGCTCTTTTTTGGTTCCATATGAACTTTAAAGTAGTTTTTTCCAATTCTGTGAAGAAAGTCATTGGTAGCTTGACGGGGCTGGCATTGAATCTGTAAATTACTTTGGACAGTATGGCTATTTTCACTATACTCGCTCTTCCTATCCATGAGCATGGAATATTCTTCCATTTGTTTGTATCCTCTTTTATTTCATTGAGCAGTGGTTTGTAGTTCTCCTTGAAGAGGTCCTTCACATCGCTTGTAAGTTGGATTCCTAGGTATTTTATCCTCTTTGAAGCAATTGTGAATGGGAGCTCACTCATGATTTGGCTCTCTGTTTGTCTGTTATTGGTGTATAAGAATGCTTGCGATTTTTGCACAGGATTTTGTATGCCGAGACTTTGCTGAAGTTGCTTATCAGCTTAAGGAGATTTTGGGCTCAGACAACGGGGTTTTCTAGATATACAATCTTGTCATCAGCAAACAGGAGCAATTTGACTTCCTCTTTTCCTAATTGAATGCCTTTTATTCCCTTCTCCTGCCTCATTGCACTGGCCAGAACTTCCAACACTATGTTGAATAGGAGTGGTGAGAGAAGGCATCCCTGTCTTGTGCCAGTTTTCAAAGGGAATGCTTCCAGTTTTTGTCCACTCAGTATGATATTGGCTGTGGGTTTGTCATAGATAGCTCTTAGTATTTTGAGATACGTCCCATCAATACCTAATTTATTGAGTTTTTAGCATGAAGTGTTGAATTTTGTCAAAGGCCTTTTCTGCATCTATTGAGATAATTTTGTAGTTTTTGGCTTTGATTCTGTTTATATGCTGGATTACTTTTATTAATTTTTGTATGTTGAACCAGCCTTGTATCCCCAGGGATAAAGCCCTCTTGATCATGGTGGATAAGCTTTTTGATGTGTTGCTGGATTCAGTTTGCCAGTATTTTATTGAGGATTTTTGCATCACTGTTCATCAAGGATATTGGTCTAAAATTCTCTTTTTTTGTTTTGTCTCTGCCAGGCTTTGGTATCAGGATGATGCTGGCCTTATAAAATGAGTTAGGGAGGATTCCCTCTTTTTCTATTGATTGGAATAATTTCAGAAGGAATGGTACTAACTCCTCCTTGTACTTCTGGTAGAATTCGGCTGTGAATACATCTGGTCCTGGACTTTTTTTGTTTGTAAGCTATTAATTATTTCTTCAATTTCGGAGCCTGTTATTGGTTTATTCAGAGATTCAACTTCTTCCTGCTTTAGTCTTGGGAGAGTGTATGTGTCGAGGAATTTATCCATTTCTTCTAGATTTTCTAGTTTATTTACATAGAGGTGTTTATAGTATACTCTGATGGTAGTTTGTATTTCTATGGGATCAGTCGTGATATCCCCTTTGTCATTTTTTATTGCGTCCATTTGATTCACCTCTCTTTTCTTCTTTATTAGTCTTGCCAGCGGTCTATCAATTCTGTTGATCTTTTCAAAAAAACAGCTCCTTCATTCCTTGATTTTTTGAAGGTTTTTTTCTGGCTCTATTTCCTTCAGTTCTGCTCTGAGCTTAGTTATTTCTTGACTTCTACTAGCTTTTGAATGTGTTTGCTCTTGCTTCTCTAGTTCTTTTAATTGTGATGTTATGGTGTCAATTTTAGATTTTTCCTGCTTTCTCTTGTGGGCATTTAATGCTATAAATTTCCCTCTACACACTGCTTTGAATGTGTCCCAGAGATTCTGGTATGTTTTATCTTTGTTCTCGTTGGTTTCAAAGAACATCTTTATTTCTGCCTTCATTTCTTTATGTACCCAGTAGTCATTCAGGAGCAGGTTGCTCAGTTTCTATGTAGTTGAGCGGTTTTGTGTGAGCTTCTTAATCCTGAGTTGTAGTTTGATTGCACTGTGGTCTGAGAGACAGTTTATTATGATTTCTTTTTTTTTTTTTTTTACATTTGCTGAGGAGTGCTTTACTTCCAACTATCTGGTCAACTTTGGAATATGTGTGGTGTGGTGCTGAAAAGAATGTATATTCTGTTGATTTGGGGTGGAGAGTTCTGCAGATGCCTATTAGGTCTGCTTGAGGCAGAGCTGAGTTCAATTCCTGGATATCCTTGTTAACTTTCTGTTTTTTTGATCTGTCTAATGATGAGAGTGGGGTGTTAAAGTCTCCAATTATTATTGTGTTGGAGTCTAAGTCTCTTTGTAGTTCACTAAGGACTTGCTTTATGAATCTGGGTGCTCCTGTATTGGGTGCATACATATTTATGATAGTTAGTTCTTCTTGTTGAATTGATCCCTTTACCATTATGTAATGGCCTTCTTTGTCTCTTTTGATATTTGTTGGTTTGAAGTCTGTTTTATCTGAGACTAGGACTGCAACCCCTGCCTTTTTTATTTTCCATTTGCTTGGTAGATGTTCCTCCATCCTTTTATGTTGAGCCTGTGTGTGTCTCTGCACATAAGATGGGTTTCCCGAATACAGCACACTGATGGATCTTGACTCTTTATCCAATTTGCCAGTCTGTGTCTTTTAATTTGAGCATTTAGCCTGTTTACAATTAAGGTTAGTATTGTTAAGTGTGAATTTGTTCCTGTCATTATGATGTTAGCTGGTTATTTTGCACATTAGTTGATGTAGTTTCTTCCTAGCCTTGATGATCTTTACAATTTGGCATGTTTTTCCAGTGGATGGTACCAGTTGTTCCTTTCCATGTTTAGTGCTTCCTTCAGGAGCTCTTTTAGGGCAGGTCTGGTGGTGACAAAATCTCTCAGCATCTACTTGTCTGTAAAGGATTTTATTTCTCCCTCACTTGTGAAGCTTAGTTTGGCTGGATATGAAATTCTGGGTTGAAAATTCTTTTCTTTAAGAATGTTGAACATTGGCCCCCACTGTCTTCTGGCTTGTAGAGTTTCTGCCGAGAGGTCAGCTGTTAGTCTGATGGGCTTCCCTTTGTGGGTAACCAGACCTTTTTCTCTGGCTGCCCTTAACGTCTTTTCCTTCCTTTTAACTTTGGTGAATCTGATAATGATGTGTCTTGGAGTTGCACTTCTCAAGGATTATCTTTGTGGCATTCTCTGTATTTCCTGAATTTGAATGTGGGCCTGCCTTACTAGATTGGGGAAGTTCTACTGGGTAATATCCTGCTGATTGTTTTCCAACTTGGTTCCATTCTCCCTGTCACTTTCAGATACACCAATTAGACATCGATTTGGTCTTTTCACATAGTCCCATATTTCTTGGAGGCTTTGTTCATTTCTTTTTATTCTTTTTTCTCTAAACTTCTCTTCATGCTTCATTTCATTCATTTCATTTTCCATCACTGATACCTTTTCTTCCAGTTGATTGCATCAGTTACTGAGGCTTGTGCATTCATCACATAGTTCTCTTGTCATAGCCTTCAGCTCCTTCAGGTCCTTTAAGGACTCCTCTGCATTGGTTATTCTAGTTAGCCATTCATCTAATTATTTTTCAAAGTTTTTAACTTCTTTGCCATTGGTTTGAACTTCCTCCTTTAGCTTGGAGTAGTTTGATCTTCTGAAGCCTTCCTCTCTCAACTCATCAGTCATTCTCCCCCCAGCTTTGTTCTGTTGATGGTGAGGAGCTGTGTTCCTTTGGAGGAGGAGAGATGTTATGATGTTTAGAGTTTCCAGTTTTTCTGCTCTGTTTTTTCCCGATCTTTGTGGTTTTATCTACCTTTGGTCTTTGATGATGGTGACGTACAGATGGGTTTTTTGTGTGTGTGTATGTCCTTTCTGTTTGTTAGTTTTCCTTCTAACAGTCAGGACCCTCAGCTGCAAGTCTGTTGGAGTTTACTGGAGGTCCACTCCAGACCCTGTTTACCTGGGTATCAGCAGCGATGGCTGCAGAACAGTGGATATTGGTGAACCGCAAATGTTGCTGCCTGATGCTTCCTCTGGAAGTTTTGTCTCAGAGGAGTACCCAGTCGTGTGAGGTGTCAGTCCACCCCTAAGGGGTTGTGCCTCCCAGTTAGGCTACTCAGGGATCAGGGACCCACTTGAGGACACAGTCTGCCCATTCTCAGATCTCAAGCTGTGTGCTGGGAGAACGACTACTCTCTTAAAATCTGTGGGACAGGGACATTTATGTCTGCAGAGGTTATTGCTGTCTTTTGTTTGTCTGTGCCCTACCCCCAGAGGTGGAGCCTACAGAGGCAGGCAGGCCTCCTTGAGCTGTGGTGGGCTCCAGCCAGTTTGAGCTTCTGGGCAGCTTTGTTTACCTACTCAAGCCTGAGCAATGGTGGACGCCCCTCCCGCAGCCCCACTGCCACCTTGCAGTTTGATCTCAGACTGCTGTGCTAGCAATGAGCAAGGTTCTGTGGACATAGGACTGTCCAAGCCATGTGCAGGATATAATCTCCTGTGTGCTGTTTGTGAAGCTGGTTGCAGAAGTTCAGTATTAGGGTGGGAGTGATGCGATTTTCCAGGTGCCATCTGTCACCCCTTTCTTTGACTAGGAAAGGGAATTCCCTGACCCCTTCTGCATCCCAGGTGAGACGATGCCTTGCCCTGTTTCAACTCATGCCTGGAGCACTGTACCCACTGTCCTGCACCCACTGACTGGTACTCCCCACTGAGATGAGCCTGGTACCCTAGTTGGAAATGCAGAAATCACCCATCTTTGGCGTCACTCACGCTGGGAGCTGTAGACGGGAGCTGTTCCTTTCTGCCCTCTTGGTTCCACTCACGAAGAGTAAATATTTTTTACAAACATATTCAAATGGCCAACAGGTGTGTAGAAAGATGCTAAACATTACCATTCATGAGAAAATAGCATATCAAAAGATACCACTTTACAGCAGTTGGAATGGCGAATATCAAAAAAAAGAAACATGACAAGTGTTAATAAGGATGTGACAAACTATTTCTGTACAGTCTTAATGAGTTGCAAACTGGAAGAGTCATTGTGAAAATTAGTATGCAGGGTATTTTAAAAAATAGAAGTATCGTACAATCCTGAAATTCCACTTCTGTCTATAAACAAAATAAAATCAGCATCTCAAAAATTATCTGCACCCTTGTATCCAATGCAGCATTATTCACAACGGTCAAGGGTATTTTTTTTTAAACAACTTATCTGTAGCTGCTGAATGGATAAGGAAAATGTGGTATAGACAACTGAATATTATTCACCCATAAAAAAAGAATGAAATTCTGCTATTTCAACAACATGAAGGACCTGGGTACATTATGCTGTGCAAAATAAGCCAGGCACAGAAAGACAAACATTGTATGTTCTCACTTAAATGGAGAATTTAAAAATCCTGAACTCATGGAAGCAGAGAGTACAATGGTAATGACAAGGCCTGGAGGTAGAAAAAATGATAAGGTGTTCAGAGTACAAACTTTCAGTTACAAGATAAATAAGTTTTGGGTGTCTAATGTATAGCTTTAAGATGTAGTTAATAACAGTGTTTTGTATGCTTAAAATTTGCTACTACATTAGGAGACCTCAAATGTTCTCACTACAAAAAACATAACCATGTAAGGTGACATAAATATACATCAACTTAATTGTATTAAACATTTTACAATATATATACCTATCAAACTTTTATAATATACACAATACATAATTATGCAATTTTTATTGGTCAAAAAATTAATGTTATGTACACATGCATATATTCACATAAGTGTGTATATACACAGATATAAAACATATACATATATATCAATTACATATGTTGTTATGTATATACTTGTGTGTGTGTGTGTGTGTGCGTGTGTGTGTGTGTGTATATATATATAAATGACAAAATCCTAGTAGGCTTCAAACTAAACAAGAGAAAATTATAAAATAATTATTAAAAATCAAGAAAAAAATGGGTATTTAATACATGCTCAGCAATATTCTAAGTTCTTCAATGGCAAAGTACATGTTTTAAATGTAGAAAGTAGATACATTATACCATATTACAGTTTAGGAATTATGGCACAGAGTGTTTACAGTATTAGCCTCAATACATACCAAAAACGTAAAATTTTGAAATAAAATAACATTTGGTTTTCTTTTATGGGGCAGAGGCTTAGTGTTCTGATTAAATTATTGAGTATGAATTTCTGTAGAATCATATTTGAAACCTTCACAGGATATGAAATTATAAAGCAGAAAACATAGGACATCTGGATGTGGTGTTTCTGGGATTTCTAAACCTAATCCCAATATCTCCACTACTCTCACACATTTTAGACAAGACTCAAAATGGAAATTAGAAAATGTTTAACAGAGTTCCTTAAAAATCACAGACAGCCCCATGTCCTCAAAAGCAATAAAAGAGCAAGAAGTCAGGTCCTCCAGTCCCTTGTAAGCCATGCAAAGGACTTTGATTTTCTTTGTAACCTAGAAGAACGACCGTTGAAGGGGAAGTCCAGTCCTAGAAAATTGAAGAGCATGGGGCAGAAGATGTCTGTCTCTAATGAAAGCAAGAGAAAGAAATCAGGGCTTCTTAGAAAAGATTTCCACTGGAGCATAGCTTCGCAAACCACACTTTTTAAGATCTGGCTTTCTCCTTGACCTTTGGTCACCTCATCTGTGTCATCTGCCTTATTCACTCCCACCTATTTGGATATTTGGCTACTATCTCCGGTCTCCTCACACTCTGGGGCTTTTTCTTTTACTCAACGTAGGTGATCAGGTTTAGCTTAGAGAACAGCCAAGGACTCTGTGTTAGAAAAAGTAATATGACTTATGCTGTGATTTTCCAATTAATACTTAGTACTGTGCTCAGTGGAAAAAAACAGAACATTATAAAATAGTCTAAAAATGTAATATCAAATACTATTTCCTCACAGAAACGTTATGATATTTAAAAACTTTTCTAAATTTGTGGGTCCTTAGCTCCACGACCCAGTGCTGCTGAATCAAAACTTGGTGGTGGTTGGCTGTGCATGGTGACTCACACCGCTGATCACAGCACTTTGGGAGGCCAAGGCAGGCAAATCACTTAAGCCCAGGAGTTTGAGGCCAGCCTGGGCAACATGGTGAGACCTAGTCTACTGGCTGAGGGTGGGGAGGAGGGGGAAAGTTGGTGGTAATGGGAGGTGGTAATGCGATTATAAGGTGTGGGCAACCATATTTTGTGCCTCTAAATTTGTGGAGTTACCACTAATCTAAAATTAAGGATACAGATCAGCTGAAGAAAGAAAAAGATTAATGTCGAGATAAAACTTCCTTGTGGGGGTCCGCAGCTGCAATACCACCAGGCGGCAGCATCCCACCTCTTTCACCCGGCTGCAGCCCCACCAGGAGCCGGGCTCCAGTCGGGGCGCTGCGGCAGGTACTAGACCCGGAAGGCGAAGGCGCGGATTTCCTGCCCTCCGGGGTGTCTTCCTGCTCCGAGGACCCCAGGCAATTCAATTCATTCATCAAGCTCCGCCTCATCTGTCCAAGCTGGGGCAGCATGTCCCACAGTCGCCAGCCAAGGCCTCTGCTCCAGAACCCATGGGCTGCTTTCCTGAGGGGAAGGACATTGTCTTCACCAGCCACAAAAAAATCCGTTCCTTTGCACCCTGTTTCCCATTGCCACCGACTTCGTGTAAACTCTAGTCCGGAGGACACGAGAGAGACACAGGCCTGGCCCCATGGACATGCTCAGTGCCACGGCTTCCAGCAGTTGGACGGGTGAACTCTACAAATCTCGGGGCCCATCGCACCAAGGAGACAGAAAGAAGCAAACAAAGGAAGGACCCTATGAAATGCACCCCCAAAGCAACCAACCAATCCAAGAAAAAAAAAAACACCTCTCAGGGATCCGTTGGTTTTCCCACGTGGGCGGCCCTGATCCCCTGTTCTAGCCTGGCCCAAGCACCCTCCACCTCACCCCGGCCTGCTCAAAGTGTCCTGTCCACTTCAGCAGAACCTCCCTCTCCAAGTCTCTGTCTCCCTCGCTCTACAACTCCCTCACCCTCTCCCTTTCTCTACTTCCTCCTTCAGCTTCGGCTCTCTCCCCCTCCACCTTTCTCTCTCTCCCCCCATTTCTATCTCTCCATCCCGGTCTCCCTAGCTCTCTTTCAAGCTGTGTCTGTGTCTTTTTTCTGTATGTCCTTATGTCTGTGTCAGTGTGTCCATGTGTCTGTGTGTGTTTGTGTGTCCGTGTGTGTGTGTCTGAGTGTCCGTCCGTGTGTGTCCGTGTGTGTGCGTGTGTGCCTGTGCACGTGCACCCGTGTGTATCTGTGTGTGTGTCGAGGTGGGTTTGCTCGTGGTGGTGGTGTGCTGTGTCTGGGTGTCCGTCAGCCCCTCTTTCCCAGGATCAGGCTGCCGGGGCTCTAGTGCCAGCGTGGTGCAAAGCAGGGCCTTCCTGTCCCATTGGCCACGGGTGGGTCCTCATCAGGAGAAGCGATGATGGTGTGGGCATTGTGAGAAAAAGAGCCCGCGGGGCTGGGCTGGCTGTTTGCCCCTAGGCAGCCCTGGCAGCTCTGGGTGTGTGGGGCAAGAGGGGGCCTTGCAGGAGGGGTGGCGAGGGATCCAAAACAATTTTTCCATGGCAAGGCGGAGGACCAGAGGGGATCCCAGTACTGTGGGCCCCGCACCCTGATGCCTCCGAGCACACCCTGTCCTGAGCCGGCCAGATGTGTTGGAAGCTCAGGAGCTCGCGAGCTGGGGGAAGGCCTGGAGTGTCAGCGAAAGGGAGACCGCCTGGTGGGCCTGGACCCTGGGCAGGGGACTGAGGCATCATGTCCTGATGACGGATTCCTGTTTCCTGCAACATGGGGAGTCTCCAAAATGGCCTGTTTTGAAACTGGAAAGGAGACCGAAGACACGATGCTGCTTTTCCACGATTCGCTAGAGGTAACAGTCAACATGGTTACACTTTCGGGGGCCAGAGACACGTGAGCAACAGGCCCCCTTGCAGAGGGCAAAGGAACATGGAATCCGGAATCATTGTTCACTCGGCTTGAGTGTGACTCCTGTGTGGATGGGAGTATCTGCCTCGCGATCTGTTGCAGGCTCAGCGTGGGGATATGTCATCTGTGAACCATGTGGATGAAAAACGGACAACCATTCGAGTCTTGGCTCTGCTCTTTGGGGAATTCGCTCATTCCTTGGGAGGTGGAATTCATCTGAATCGCTCCCTGATGAAGTAACCTAGGCTGGCAATCCCGAGGGCCGGTAAGCGCACCGCCAGCCGACACGGCCGTGGGCCCAGCACTCAGCCTGCACTGGGCACCCAACATTTTCCCGGATTTCGAGGTCCTGCTGGTCCTGGAGGCAGAAGACCACTTTTCTCTTTGCCTTCCTTTCTCTGTTTCTTGCTCCTTTTCTCCTTCTGTCCCTCCTTCCCTCTGTTCTTCCTTCTTTCCCTCTCTCCCTCCCTGTCTCCCTCCCTCCCTCTGTTCTTCTCTCCTTCCCTCTCTCCCTCCATCCATACCTCCCTTTCTCCCTCCTTCCCTCCCTCCCTTCCTCCCTTCCAAGGTCCTCCTTTCATCCGTCCTTTCCTCCCTCTGTCCCTCTCTCTCACTTTGTCTCCGTTCCTTTCCCCATCTCTGCCTGGCTTTCCTCCAACCTAGAAAGGTCAGAACCACGGTTTGCACGAGATCTCGGGGTCTACATTTAGTTGCCGGGCACTCCACGTGATGCCAAGGAGGATGGCGGCGCACGGGTGGGCACGGGAGGGTGGAGCGGGGAGGTAGTGGAGTTGAGCTGTGGAAAGGAGAAGAGGCCTGGCCACTGCCCAGGCCAGTGTTTCCTGGGGTGGAGGTCTCACCCTACATCACTGAAGAACGCGGGGGCGGGGGGGTGTAAGCCGTGTGGGAGCAGGGGAAGTGATGAGAGTCCTGCCTGGGCTGGTCCCAAACCCTAGCCGGCCGCCCGCGGACCCACGCATGAGCAGCAGACAGCCCATCTCTGAGTACCTGGGCTGGCTCTGAAATCCTTGGGATGCTCAGCAAAGAATGACAGACCTCCTTTCTGTGGAGTCTCTCGCCGGACCTGGACTCAGGGATCCTAGACAAGTCAGCTGGAAGGGAAGACACAGGTTTCCATACCGAGCCAGAGGTTCACCGCGAAAGAGGGAGCCACCGCCCTGCCCCCACCAGGTCCCAACCCTGCGTCCTAAAGCTCCTCCAGCTGAGCTCAGTGTTCTTCTAGGCTGAGGAGTGGTTCCAGAAAAGCGGGCTTTTCCAAGTCCTTCAACTCCCCCAGTAGCTCCGTTGCTAGGAAAGGTTGTGCCTTTTGCTGAAATTCTGGGGTCGACAGAAGCTCATCTAACAGGGTGTATGCGAGTACAGATGAAGACTCCAGCTCCTGGAGCTGTTGGGAGGGTGCCTGGATGGCTTACATCTGCTCCTGACACGCAGAGGCCTCCATGGGCGCGAGCTGCGGAGGTAGATGTGCCTCGGATTCATGTTCCCACGTGCCCTGGTGACCTGTGGACCCTGGCCGCAGACCCAGTACGGACTCATGTGGGACATGTGAGGCGCAAGCACACCTTGCCCCTGTGACTCAGCCTGAGTGGCTCAAGTTGTCCCACTGAGTACGCACCCAGAAGGCTGCCATGCTGCTGGTCCTGGTCCCTCTGCCATCTGTTTGACTCAGCCTGAGAGGCCCAAGCTGTCCCATTGAGCACCCACCCAGAAAGCCACCGTACTACGGGTCCTGGACCTCCTGCCATCTGTTCGGATGCGGAGGTCACCCAGGTGACTGAGGGTAGGACAGTGCCACTTCCGAAGGAGCCAGGGCAGCAAACCCAAAATCCCCATGTGCCGCGGCAAGTTGGGAGATTCCTTCTGCCTGCAAAGCCTGGCTGGGCTGCAGCAGAGGGGTGACCTTTGCTGTCTGGCTCACGAAAGCCCCCTGTTCCCCACTCCCTGGCGTGGGTGAAGGCGACCAAGGAGGGAGGGTGACACCCCCGGTGGGCCACGTTGCACAGGCCGTGTGCGTGTGCAGGTTCCCTGCCACCCTGGCATGGATACCTGGACCTTCGATTATGACATGAAATCTGAATCCTGGACTCCAAAATGCCGGTCTCTCTGTCCAGTTCGGGTACAGGTTCTGCTCAAAGCATGCTGGCAGGACATCTTTTTCATTCAGGTTACAAATGAGTCTCCTTCGCCATCCTTGTCCTCAGGCTTCTGCGGGGAATGGGCTGTCAGAAGGTGTCGGGAGAGCCATCGCGAGGGCACCTGGCCAGAATTTCACAGACAGACATGGGCAGAGAGAGGCCGGCGGCTCCCGTGTGCCTCAATTGGCCTCTGTGCTTCACGCAGGTCCAGTCAGGAGTCCGACCCCGCCAGTGGCCCTTATAAAGACCCACCAGCTTCACCCCCTCAAGAATATGCATGAGCACCCAAGGGCCCTGGGTAATGGCCCTCTGAAGGGTCCAGAAACCACAGACACAGGGCCTTGTGTGGTAGGTGAAGGTGGGGCCAGATCATCTGGGAAAGGAGGGCTTCTGGGGCTGTCTCCCTGAGTTCTCCAGAATTCTACGGAAACTGGAAGTTTCTCTGTGGGCTCACACACGATTTCAGGGAGAAACCACCCTGGAAGGGTGTAGTGTGGAACTGAACCTCCATGATAGTCTTGAGTTTTCCAGGCCCTCTCCGTGAAGGCGGCAATGCCTGTGGGTGTCGCTGTTGCCGTGATAGTCTCACACACGCAGGTGTGTGGATCTCATTCATTTTCTTTTTTTATTTTAACTTTTTATTTCTACCTCTTAAAGTCAATGATAAAGTCACAGCTACTTACAGCCATCTAAGAAAGTGGCCTTACTCATGCTCATTCACTCGTTCTGTGGCCTATCAAGAGTCACACGTAACAATGGTTTTCCTTTTTTAAAAAAACCAAATACTTTATACAGTGAACTATAGAAAAAAACAATTCTAAATATACTTTAAAAATTCTAGAGAGTTAAGGTAACCTCATTTTTTAAAATACTGAAAATGTAAAGGGTCCATATAAAGAGTTGTATTAAGTACATACTTCCTATTTTAATAATTCACTTGCTGTGTTCTTAAAATCTCTATGAGAGAAGCAGATATTTTATTCATGTCTTTTGGCAAGAGATTCAAAAGCAAAAGTAGAAGGGCTGTAAAATTTCATAAAATTTGTGGGATTTTTAAAAGCTAAATTATTCAATATTTTGTATGGTTATCACACTCATATATCGCCTGGAATATATATACAGCAACCCAACAACAGTGATTGCAACAAAAGTAAGATAAATAGGTCTACAAAGCATTTGATTTCCTTATTAGATAAATGAAGTTTTCATAGAGGAAGTGCAAATTCAGATCAGGTTACATAAGCTTAACAATTATTCAAACCTTATATAAAATTAAATCTAACCCTCACCACTACAAATCTGTAAGGAATCACTGTCAGGAATCTACAGGACTTGGCTCATATTTACATTGGACACACACTTAGAAATTTCATAAATGATGAGATGCAGGCCAAGGGTATTCCTCAAAGGGCTCCACCCAAAAGGAAAAGAAAGAGAGTTAAACAGAGAATTACCACACGTATTTGTGGGTAATCAGCTTATTCCTCAGCCTCTAGACAGTGAGGAGGATGAAAAAATGGAAGAAGATAGTAAAGAAGAGGAAGAAAAAGATCACAGTGAAGCGATGAAGCCAGAGGAGCCACCTCAAAATTTACTGAGAGAAAAAATCATGAAACTGCCCCTCCCTGAATCTTTAAAAGCTTACTTGACATATTTTAGAGACAAATAACTTAGATCAAGAAGAAAGAATGACTACTGATAATTCCTTTAGTCTTGAAAATGTAGCATTTGTTAGGAATTAAAAGAATTATTTATTTCATCAGAGCAAATTATAGTGGAAAAACTATCACTTGTTACTGTCAGTAACATAAATGATGTATTGAGTGAATAAAAGAATCCCTTTTATAAAATCTATTTTTCTTTATATCTTGGAAAATTGTTGTTTCACCTCAGAGTGATTTCAAAGTGGAATGTAACAGTAGTGAAGACTTGTGTGCTATAAATCCTTTTGTGATTCCTTATGGATCTCGTTCATTTTCATGTAGAAAACAAAGGCGAAACTACAGAGAAAAGAAACGCCTGGTGCATCACGGCCTGACGATGGATTCCTGTTTCCTGCAATATGGGGAGTCTCCACTTATGGCCTGTTTCCCAACAGGAAACTGGAAAGGAAAGTGAAGACACGGTGCTGCTTTTCCACGCTTCTCTGGAGGTTTCTGTGTCCCCACAGAGCTCGGGAAACAAACAATCAACATGGTCACGCTTTGGGGGCCAGAGACGCATGAGCAACAGGCCCCCTTGCAGAAGGCAAAGGAATGTGGAACCCAAAACCACGCTTCAGTCGGCCAGAATGTGACTCCTATGTGGACGGGACTATCCACCTCGCGATCCGTTGCAGGCTCAACGTGGGGCTATCTCATCTGTGAACCATGTGGATGAAAAATGGACAATCACCCGAGTCTCGGCTCATTGCTCTCTGGGCAATTCCCTCATTCCTTGGGAGAGGAAATTCTTCTGAATCGCTCCCGGATGAAGTAACCCAGGCTGGCGATCCAGAGGGCCAGTGAGAGCCCCACAGGCCGACGCGGCTGTGGGCCGAGCACTTAGCCTGCACTGGGCACCCAACATTTTCCGGAGTGCGAGATCCTGCTGGTCCTGGAGGCAGAAGACTGCTTTTCTCTCTGCCTTCCTCTCTCTGTTTCTTGCTCCCTCCCTCCCTCTTTCCCTCCGTCCCTCCCTCAGTTCCTCCCTTCCTCCCTTCCTCCCTCCCTCCGTCCCTGTCTCCTTCCTTCTATCCCTCCATCCTTTCCAAGGTCCCTCGGTCCATCCGTTCTTTCCTCCCTCCATCGCTCCCTCTCTCTCTGTCTCCGTTCATCTCTCCATCTCTGCGTGAATTCTCTCCCGCATAGAAAGGGCAGCACCCCGGCTTGGGCGGGGTCTCTGGTCTGCATTTAGCTGTCAGGCGCTCCACGGTGATGCCGAGGAAGCTAGCGGGGCAAGGGTAGGCTAGTGACGGTGGGGAGGGGAGGCAGAGGTTTCGAGACACGGAAGGAAGAGCAGGCCTGGCGTCTGCCCGTGCCAGTGTTTCCCGGGATGGAGGTCTCCGCCCGCCCCACTGAAGAACGAGGTGGGGGGCAAGAGGGAAGGGATGAGAGCTCTACCTAGGCTAGTTAGAAAACCTAGGCTGCTGCCTGCTAACCCGCGCATGAGCAGTAGACAGTCCGCCTCCCAGTACCTGGACAGGCCCTGGGATCCCCGGGATGCTCAGAAAAGAATGACAGCCTGCCTCTGAGTGGAGTCCCTCATGGGACCTGGAACTCAGGGACCCTAGGCAGGTCAGCTGGAAGGGAAGACACGCCTCTCCATATCGAGTGAGAGGTTCACCGCAAAAGAGAGGCCTTCGCACTGCCCCTACCCCGCCCCAACCCCGCGTCCTAAAGCTCCTCCAGCACAGCCAAGTGTTCTTCCTGGCTGAGGAATGGTTCTAGCGGAGTGGGCTCTTCCACGTCCTTCAGCTCCCCCAGTGGCGCCGGATCTGGGAAAGGTTGTGCTGCTTTGCCCCAGCCACTTTGACCCAACGTGGAGCTCACAAAAACATGTGTTGTATGAAATCAAGGTTTAAGGGATCTAGGGCTGTGCAGGATATGCCTTGTTAACAAAATGTTTACAAGCAGTGTACTTGGTAAAAGTCATTGCCATTCTCTAGTCTCAACAAACGAGGGGCACAATGCACTGCAGAAAGCCGCAGGGACCTCTGCCCTTGAAAGCAGGGTATTGTCTAAGTTTTCTCCCCATGTGATAGTCTGAAATATGACCTCGTGGGATGAGAAAGACCTGACTGTCCCCCAGCCCGACACCCGTAAAGGGTCTGTGCTGAGGTGGATTAGTAAAAGAGGAAAGCCTCTTGCAGTTGAGATAGAGGAAGGCCACTGTCTCTTCGCTGCCCCTGGGAATTGAATGTCTCAGTATAAAACCCGATTGTACATTTGTTCAATTCTGAGATAGGAGAAACACTGCCCTATTGTGGGAGGTGAGACATGTTTGCAGTAATGCTGGTTTGTTATTCTTTATTCCACTGAGATGTTTGGGTGGAAAGAAACATAAATCTGGCTTACATGCACGTCCAGTCATAGTACCTTCCCTTGAACTTAATTATGACATAGATTTTTTTGCTCCTGTGTTTTTTGCTGACCTTCTCCTTATTATCACCCTGCTCTCCTACTACATTCCCTTTTGCTGAAATAATAAAAATAATAACCAATAAAAACTGAGGGATCTCAGAGGCCGGCGCTGGTTCAGGTCCTTGGTGTATGCTGAGTGCCAGTCCCCTGGGCCTACTGTTGTTTCTCTATACTTTTTCTCTGTGTCTTAATTCTTTTCTCAGTCTCTCATCCCACCTGACTAGAAATACCCACAAGTCGGGAAGGGTAGGCCACCCCTTCACTCACCAGCAAAAAGATTATGACTTGGTAAAGCTCAGATATTCATTAGTATTTTTCAGCAATAAGGTATTTTAAGTTAAGGTATGTACATAGTTTTTTAGACATAATGTGATTACTAATTAATTAATTAATAATTATTAAATACTCATTAGACTACAACATAGTTTAAGCATAACTTTTATAAACACTGGGAAACAAAATGTTAATGTGACTAACTTGATTGTAACATTTGCCTTATTGTGGTTGTCTGGAACGAAACCCACACTATCTCTGAGTATGCTTGTAGGTTTTTGGTTGTTCTTTGTTTTGAGATGGGGTTTCACTCTGTCACCCAGGCCAGAGTGCAGTGGCATGATCATAGCTCACTGCAGCCTCAAACAGCTGGGTCAAGTGACTGTTCTACCACAGCCTCCTGAGTAGCTGGGACTACAGGCATGCAGCACTATGTCTGGCTATTTTTTTTTTTTTTTTTTTTTTTTTTTGAGACAGAGTCTCACTCTTTCGCTCAGGCCAGAGTGCAGTGGTTATCTCGGCTCACTGCAAGCTCTGCCTCCTGGTTTCATGCCATCCTCCTGCCTCAGCCTCCTGAGTAGCTGGGACTACAGGTGCCCAAACCAGGCCCGGCTAATTTTTTGTATTTTTAGTAGAGACCGGGTTTCACCATGTTAGCCAGGATGGTCTCGATCTGCTGACCTCGTGATCTGCCCGCCTCGGCCTCCTAAAGTGCTGGGATGACAGGCGTGAGTCACCGCACCTGGCCTGCCTTTTCTTTCTAGTGGCACAAGCCCCATGGAGTGTGGTGCGTCCGATCTTCGATGCTTTTGAACAGTGTAGAAAGTATTGCTGTTTGAATTTAATTTTTTACTACATGTATGGTCTCGATAGATCACAAGAAGATCAATAAGCCCTTCTCCTTATTCTACTTCCCTTTCTAGCAATGGAGAACTTTGATTGGATGTTTCCTGCCTACAGACAGGAATGAGTCTGCTGTTTTCTTTTTTAAACCTGAGGGGACTCAGCTTGAGGGCCTCGAGCATGGCCACCCTCCCCCAACCCCCAACTGGTGATTCTGGTGGTGGTGGTGGTTTTGTGTTCCAGCTTCTGTTTTGTTGTTGTTGTTGCTGCTGCTGCTGCTGGTCCTGTCATCATTGTTTTGGTATTTTACAGACTCAGGAGGTGTACGTGCTTGTTTGTTAGATCGGCATACTACTGCCTCCAGTTGTAGAAGTGGACCTCCAGTGTATCCAATACCCACGTGGTGAACGTTGTCTCCGACGGGTGATTTATTCATTCCTCGTCCCCTTCCTACCCTCCTCCTCCCTTTTGGAGTGTCTGTTATTTCCATCTTGATGACCATGTGCGTACCCACTGTTTACCTCCCACTTGTAAGCAGAAGGCAGTTCACTGGGTACATACTTGCTTCCAGCTCTATCCATGTTGTGGGAAAAGACGTGAAATTGCTCTTTTTTGTGCCTGTACCATTGGAGAATTTTAACTTTCTTGGTGGTTGTTTTTCTTTTTTCTTTTCTTTTCTTTTCTCTTCTTTTCTTTAATTTTCTTTTCTTTCTTCGTCCTCCTCCTCCTTCTTTTTTCATTTTTTTCAGCTGGGCTCTCCTACTTTTGTTGCTCAGTTGCTCAGGCTGTTCTCAAACTCCTGGCCTTGAAACTTCCCCCGTCACATCCACCATCTAGTTGTTGAAATGAACATCTCTTGTAAAATTGAAAAGATGAAAAAAATAAAGAGAAAGACAAAAAGCAAGGGGTGAACGTTTCTCTTGCCACCTCCCAGGGTGTACCTTGGACCCGATAGGAGGGAGGGAGCTTGGCTGGGTGGGTTTTTGTTGCTAAATCCTCCCTAGGGCCTCCTTCCCTCTCCTCCTTGTCCCCACTTCTCCCCCAGCCAAGGCTCCCACCGCCGCCATGGGATTTTCCATGGGAGAGATATGCGAGAGGACAGATGCGGCTTCCAGATCTATATCCTGCCAGACGTCTCTGGCTCAGAATCCCCCACCAGCTGCCTACCACCTTCCAGAGAGCTCTGAGGCCGATGCCCCGCCCCCCTTCACATCCCGCCACCCTCCTCTGGCTGGCCTTTGCCCAGCGACCCCAAGGGAACCGCGTTGACACTCCTTTCGAATCCTCCAGCGAAGACTTCCACCAGATGCCCCGGGTGGGCCGGATGGGATGGACTGGATCACCCCGGACTGTGCTGTTCTTGGGGGTTGGTTGACGTACATGGTGGACTGGCAGCCCCAGCATTGTAAAGGGTGCCCAGGTATGGAAATGTCACATAGGATGCCCTCCTTTCCGTCAGCCTGCCTTCAGCTTCCTCAGGCATGAAGACAACTTCCCATCAGAACCTCTTTTCTTCCCTTTCTCCACCACAGAGATGAGATGCATGAGAGGGAGAAACAGCTCAATAGATACTTCTGAACTTCATTTGTGGAATCCTCAGTCATCTACAAACAGAGAGGTGACTAGACAGGGTCCCAAATCAAACACCACTTCCAGGTCCTCACGGTGGGATTGGTCTCTCTCTCTCACACACACACACACACACACACACACACACAGGCAATTTCCACATCTAGTTCACAAACCACACTAATTTACCCTTTTCACAGTATGCAGTCTGAGTAAAACACACCCCAGCCTCTACCCAGCGGCTGACGAAACCTCTTCTCTACAAATTATTAAAAAGATTATCTGGGCCGGGCACAGTGTCTCCCACCTGTCATCCCAGCACTTTGGGAGGCCAAGGCGGGTGGATCACTTGAGGCCAGGAGTTCAAGACCAGACTGGCCAACATAGCAAAACCCCATCTTGATGAAATATAGAACAATTAGCCAGGCCTGGTGGCATAAGCTTGTAATCACAACTACTCAGGAGACTGAGGCAGGCGAGTTGCTTGAACCAGGGGGGCCAAGATTGCAGTGAGCTGAGATCGTGCCATGGCAATTATTGAGACAAAGCGAGACTCTGTCTCAATAATAATCACAATATTGTTATAAGATGAGTTGTGTGTGCTGATACCCACCAGTAGTCGCAGCTACTCAGGAGGCTGAGTTAAGGAGAAGATCACTTGAGGCCCCACAGGTTGAGGCTTCAGTCAGCTGTATCCTGGGTAGTTACCAATCAAGGAGATATGCCCCTCCCCATTTTCTTTTATTTTCTTTTCTCTCTTCTTTTTTCTTCTCTCTTCTTTCTTTCTTTCTTTCTCTCTTTCTTTCTTTCCTTTTTCTTTCTTTCCTGCCTGACTGCCTCCTGCCTTCCTTCTTTTCTCCCTTCCTCCCTTCCTCCCTTCCTTCTTTCCTCCCACCTCGGCCTCCCAAAGTGCTAGGATTACTGGTGTGAGGCACCATGCCTGCTTGGCCTAAAGAGACACCCTTTGAAAGTAAGACACAGACAGCGCCTTCCAGTGATCTGATTGATTGATTGACTGATTTAGAGACAGCGTCTTGCTCTGTCTCCCTGGGAGTTGTGCCATCATAACTCACTCACTGCAGCGTGGATGCTCCTGGACTCAAGTGATCCTTCCACCTCAGCCTCCAGATTAGAGTACCTGGGACCACAGGCAGGTGCCACTGTGCCCAGATCATTTTTATTTATTTATTTATTTATTTTCCCGAGACAGAGTTTCACTTTTGTTGCCCAGACTGGAGTGCAATGGCGCGATCTTGGCCCACTGCAACCTCTGCCTCCCAGGTTCAAACGATTCTCCTGCGTCAACCTCCCGAGTAGCTGGGATTGCAGGCATATGCCACCACGTCTGCCTGATTATGTATTGTTAGTAGAGGCGGGGCTTCTCCATGTTGGTCAGGCTGGTCTCGAACTCCCAACATTAGGTGATCCGCCCTCCTCGGCCTCCCAAAGTGCTGGGATGGCAGGCGTGAGCCACTGCACCTGGCCTTCATTTTTATATGTTTTTCCACAGACAGGGTCTCATCATTTTGTTGCAACCCTCCTGAACCAGCGTCTCAAAGTACTGGCGTGGTAGGCATGAGCCACTGCACCTGGACTCTGGGGAATGATTCAAGACCATGACCGCTGTACTAATTCTTTCTTTCTTTCTTCCATTGATGAATTTTTTTATTACTGATTGATTGATTGATTGATTGATTTTGAGACGGAGTCTCGCTCTGGTCCAGGCGAGGCGAGGCAAGGGGCATCAATTTGGAAGCCGCAGCACCGCCTTCTAAAGCCCCATTCAAATGCAGAAAGCCTTATTTCCTTCCTGGAGTTGGAGCTGATGCCTTCCATCGCCTTGGGCTTCTCTCCTTTCAGAAGCTGTTGCAGGCACAACCCCTCCCAGAGGCTGGCTGCGGCTGAGGATTAGGGGGTGTGGTGGGGCTGGAAACTCGGTCTCCTATTGTTGCAAGCTCAGCCAAGACATCCCCCGACGCCCATCCCTTGCTCACCCTTTGAGATCCCCTGACTCCACCGCCTTGGAGGCTTACCTCTTACTTTAATTTGTCTTTCTTCCTTTCCTGCATTTGAGGAGGGGGTGCAGGAATGAGGGTGTGTGTGGGAAGGGGGTATGGGGTGGGAATGGAGGGGAGAGTCCTAAGGGTCTATTTAGTGTCATGCCTCTTTCACCGCCACCACCGAAGATGAAAGCAACAATTAGCTAAATACCACGTGTTCTCATCCATAAGTGGGAACTTATAGATGAGAGTTCTGCATGGGCAGAACGAGGGGGACCAGAGACGCGGGAGCCTACTTGAGGGAGGAAGGGTGGAAGGAGAGACAGCTTCAGGAAAAAACAAACAAACAAAAAAACATGAAAACTGTTGAGTACTGCGCTGAGTATCCGGCTGATGAATTCATCTGCACACTGAACACCCCCGTCAGAAGTTTACCTATGTAACAATCTTGCACATGTATGTTTGAACAAGAAATGAAAGTTAGGGGAGAAAGAGAGAGAAGGGAGGGAGAGAGGGAAAGAGAGAGAGAAGTGAAACGAAACACCACCTCCTGGACCTGAGTCAGGGGGTTTCCGGCCTTTTGGGGGAACATTCAGCGACAATGCAGTATTTGGGACTCTTCTTTTTTTTTTCTTCTTCTTTTCTTTTTTTTTGACTGAGTTTCTCTTGCTCTGTCACCCAGGCTGTGGTGCAGTGGCACTCTCTCGGCTCACTGAAACCTCTGCTTCCCAGGTTCCGATGATTCTTCTTCTGTAGCTGGGATTACAGGTGCGCACCATGACAGCCGGCTAATTTTTTCTATTTTTAGTAGAGATGGGGTTTCTTCATGTTGGCCACGTTGGTATTGAACTCCTGACCTCAAGCAATCCACCCTCCTGGGCCTCCCAAAGTGCTGGGATGGCAGGCCTGAGCTGCCGGGATTTCAGCCTTTAAAAGCATGGGCCCTGACACTTTTCGCTGTGGCCCTTACACTCAGAATGACGTGTCCTCTCTGCCTTAGGTTGACTCCTTGAGTCCCCTATGCCATTGCACTCTAGCCTGGGCAGCAAGACCGAAACTCTGTCCCCCCACCTTCTGGTGCAAAAAATAAATAAATTAATTAAATAAATAAATAAATAAATAAAATCTCTACACATGACATATAAGTGTGTGTTCCCATAAGTGATTTCTAAGAAATGGCACTGTACACTGAACACAGTGGCCCACGTCTGTCATCCCAGCACTTTGGGAGGCCGAGGTGGGTGTTTCAGAGGTCAGGAGTTCAAGACCAACCTAGACAACATAGGGAAATCCTGTCTCTACTGAAAATAAGAAACTGAGCTGGGCACGGTGAGGTAGACAGCTGTAATCCCAGCTACTCAGGAGGTTGAGGTGGGAGAATAGCTTGAATCTGGAAGGCAGAGGTTGCAGTAACCCGGGATGGCGCCACTGCACTACAGCCTGGGTGACAGAGTGATACTTGGTCTCCAAACAAATAAATAAATAAATGTAAAAAAGAAAGAAAGAAAAGAAAAGGAAAGGAAAGGAAAGGAAAGGAAAGAAGAAAAGAAAAGAAAACAAAAGAAAAGAAAAGAAAAGAAAAGAAAAGAAAAGAAAAGAAAAGAAAAGAAAACCAGAAAAGAAAGAGAAAATGAAAGAAAAGACACTGTATTGCTACTGGGCCAGGACCTCTCTTTCTGTGTATTTCTCTCTGTCTCTCTGTCCATCTCTGTCTTTCTCTATCTGTCTCTTTCTCTGTCTGTCTGTCTCTTTCTTTCTCTCTATCTCTGTCTCTCTCTGCCTGTCTCACGGTGTCTGTCTTCTAACTCTCTTTCTCTGCCTGTCTGTCTCTATCTCTCCCCCTCCCTGTCTGTTTCTCTCTCTCTCTGTCTCTCTCTTTCTGACTGTTTCTCTCTGTCTGTCTCTCTCTGTCTGTCTCTGTTTCTCTCTGTCTCTCTCTGTCTCTTTTTTTCTCTGTCTCTCTGTTTGTCTCTCTATTTCTTTTTCTGAGTCTCTCTGTCTGTCTCTATCACTCTCTCTCTCTGTGCCTATCTTCTGTCTTACTCTCTTTCTCTACCCTTCTGTCTCTCTCTTTGTCTGTCCCTCTCCCTCCCTTTCTGTCTCTCTCTCTCACTCTCTCTCTGTCTCTCACTCTTTCTGTTTCTCTCTGTTTCTCTCTCTCCATCTCTCTCTGTCTCTCTCTTTCTCTCTGTCTCTCTCTCCCTCTGCCTGTCTCTCTCACTGTGTCTGTCTTCTGTCTTACTCTCCTTCTCTGTCTGTCTCTATCTCCCCCTCTCTTTCTGTTTCTCTCTCTCTCACTCTCTCCGTCTCTCTCTTTCTGTCTGTTTCTCTCTGTCTGTCTCTGTCTCTCTGCCTGTCTGTCTCTCTCTCTGTCTCTCTCCCTCCCTGTCTGTCTGTTTCTCTCTTTCTCTATCTCTCTCTTTCTGTTTCTGCCCATCTCTGTCTTTCTCTGTCTCTCTTTCTCTCTGTCTCTGTCTCTCTCTTTCTCTGCCTGTCTCTCTCGCTGTGTCTGTCTTCTGTCTTACTCTTTCTCTGCCTTTCTGTTTGTCTATCTCTCTCTCTCCCTCCCTTTCTCTCTCTCTGTCTCTCTCTCTTTCTGTTTCTCTCTGTCTCTGTCTCTGTGTGTCTGTTTCTCTCTCTTTCTCTGTCTCTCTCTCTGTTTCTGTTTATTTCTCTCTGTTTGTCTCTCTCTCTCTGTCTCTCTCCCTCCCTGACTGTCTGTTTCTCTCTCTGTCTCTGTCTGTCTCTCTTTCTGTCTGTTTCTCTCTGTCTCTCTCTGTCCATCTCTGTCTTTCTATGTCTGTCTCTTTCTCTGTCAGTCTGTCAGAGCCCCCGTGCTGGGCAGGGCCCTGCCTCTTCCAAGAAAGTGAGAAGCACCTGCTTAGAGAGGCCGAGAGGAATCTAGACAGACGGGCCTTGCTAGACTTCGCCACTCGGTGCATGATTTCGGGAGGTCGAGGCCGGATCCTCACTTGGATGGAAGGGGCATTTTCCAACTTTTCTCTCTGTCATGTGTGGCATGCCTACTTCTTGTATTTCCCTGATAAGCTCCTCGACTTAGAAATACATGGTTAAGGCCAGGCGCAGTGGCTCACGTCTGTCATCACAGCAGTTTGGGAGGCCGAGGCGGGTGGATCACCTGAGGTTGGGAGTTCGAGACCAGCCTTGCCAACACAGCAAAACCCCATCTCTACTAAAAATATTAAATTGAGTCGGGCGCGGTGGGGCAGGCGCCTGTAATGCCAGCTACTCGGGAGGCTGAGGCAGGAGAATCACTTGAACCTGGGAGGCAGAGGCTGCAGTGAGCCGAGATCGCGCCACTGCACTACAGCCCGGGCTGTAGAGTGAGTGAGACTCTGTCTCTAAATAAATAAATAAATAAATGCATTCTTTTCCGTGCTGACTGACACTTGCAGGCATCGGTTGTCTTCAGGCATCACTTAGTGGCCACTGTTATTGAAAGTCGATGTGACACAGAGGGAGGTCTCCTGGACTTCACCGAGCCTGGGGCAACGGGTTTCTCTCTCTCCCTTCTGGAGGCCCCTCCCTCTCTACCTGGTTGCCTAGGGAACCTCCGCCCTGGCGGGGGCCCTATTGTTCTTTGATTAGCGCTTTAGTTTTCTTTGTGTGTTGGTTTCTTTCATGCGCATTGACTCTTCTACTTGGGTTTTAGGAGGGGTCAATTTAATTTTCAAGTCGCTGCCTGGCTCCCCCCATTACCTATGTCCCTTTACCTTCATTTAGTGAATCACTTAGGTGGGTTCCCCCCAAAACCCCTACCCCCCGCCTCCCAACACCCTGCTTGGAAACCTTCCAGAGCCACCCAGGTGCGCCTCCCTCTTCTCTCCCCTTCTCCCACCCCTTGCCAGAGATCTCATTCTTGCCAGGCTGACATTTGCAACGTTGGGCGTCAGGCCTCACTCAGTGGCCATGGTTTTTGAAGATGGGGGTGGCACGGTCCCACTTCCCCAGAGACAGCTTGGGCCGATGGCATAGCCCTTGACCCGTGTGGGCAAGCGGGCAGGTCTGCAGTTTTGGGGTTTTCCCCAGCTTCCTTCTTCAGGCCTCCCTCCCTAGGAAAGCTTCACCCTGGCTGGGTCTCAATCACTTTTTATCATGATGTTTTAGTTTCTCGCCCTCCTGCTGGCATAGTTTCACAATGGGAATGGGGTCACAGCTCTAGTCTGGACCTTCTTAGTATTTGCCCAAAATTGAAACGCTTTCTGAAAACTAATACTTTGCTCACTTAAGATTTCCAGGGACGGTGCCTTGGTCCGTGTTTGTTGTTTTGTTTTGTTTGTGTTTTTCCTTTTTCGTATGTATTTCTTTTCAGATGAAGTAGAAATCCCCAGTTTTCAGGAGGACATATATTTTCCCCAAGACATGTTAGCTGCTGTTTTCTCCTGTTGTTAACTAGCGCTTTTGTGAATCTCTCAACGTGTGGTGAGAGCCGGTTGATATTTACTATACTTCAGAGCATCTTATTTTCTGGAAATACGTAAGTGAATGCTGCTGCTGCTCTTGCTGCTGCTGTTGCTCTTGTCGCTGTTGTTGTTGTTGTTTTCAAAGACCACCCTAGACACCGTTTACGGGATCAAAAGCATTATAAAATATGTGTAATTATTTCCTGATCATGCCCTTCCTCCTCCTCTCTCTGTCTCTCTGTCTGTCTCTGTCTCTCTCTTTCTCTGTCTCTCTCTCTCTCTGCCTATTTCTCTCTCTCTCTCTGCCTGTCTCTCTCACTGTGCCTGTCTTCTGTCTTACTCCCTTTCTCTGCCTGTCTGTCTCTCTCTCTGTGCTTGTCTGTCTTTCACTGTCTCTCTCTCTCCGTGTCTGTTTCTCTCCATCTCTGTCTCTGTCTCTCTTTCTGTCTGTTTCTCTCGGTCTCTCTCCCTCCATCTCTGTCTGTCTCTTTCTTTCTCTCTGTCTCTATCTCTCTCTCTGCCTGTCTCTCTCACTGTGTCTGTCTTCTATCTTACTCTCTTTCTCTGCCTGCCTGTCTCTCTCTCTCTGTTTCTCTCTGTCTCTCTCTGTCCATCTCTGTCTTTCTCTGTCTGTCTCTTTTTCTGTCTGTATCTCTCTTTCTCTGTCTCGCTGTCTCTGTCTCTCTCTCTCTGTCTCTCTCACTGTGTCTGTCTTCTGTCTTATTCTCTTTCTCTGCCTGTCTGTCTGTCTGTCTGTTGGTCTCTCTCTCTTGCTCTCTCTCCCTGTCTCTCTGTTTGTCTCTCTCTCTCCCTGTTTTTTTCTCTCTTGTTTTTTTCTCTCTCTCTCTTTGCCTGTCTGTTTCTCTGTCTCTGTCTCTCTGTCTCTCTCTCTCTGTCTCTCTCTCTGTGTCTGTCTTCTGTCTTACTTTCTCTGCCTGTCTGTCTGTCTGTCTCTTTCTCTCCTTGTCTGTTTCTCTCTCTGTCTCTGTCTCTCTCTTTCTGTCTGTTTCTCTCTCTCCCGCTGTCTGTCTCTGTCTTTCTCTCTCTGTCTCTCTCTCTGTCTCTTTCTTTCTCTCTGTTTCTCCATCTGTCTCTGTCTCTCTCTCTTTGTGTGTGTGTCTGCCTTCTGTCTTACTCTCTTTCTCTGCCTGTCGGTCTTCCTGTCTGTCTGTCTCTCTCTGTCTCTCTCTCTCTCTGTCTCTCTCTCTGTCTCTATCTCTCTTTCTGTTTCTCTCTCTGTCCATCTCTGTCTTTCTCTGTGTCTTTATCTGTCTGTCTGTCTCTCTCTCTCTCTGTTTTTTTCTCTTTGTGTATCTTTGTATCTCTCTGTCTGTCTCTCTCTGTCTCTGTCTCTCTCTTTCTTGCTCACTCTCTCGCTCTTGCTATCTCCCGCCCTCTCTTTCTTTGCAAAATAAGTTCAAGTACATCTAATCTAATCCATTACCATGGCCTGAATTCTTAACTTTAGACATCCCAGATATGATCTCCCTACAGAATGCTGTACAGAACTGGTGAGTTGATTTCTGGACTTGGAAACCTCATAGATACTACATATTAATAAAGATCCAACCCTAAAATCTGGGGTTGCCTCTCCCTCAACTGTCTCAAAAAGGCATATATCTGTTCACCTAGGATGCTGGGAGGGTTTTCTCAATGTGCATCTGCTCGTGTCCTACATGACCTGTGACCAAGCCCTGTCCGTTCTGTCTCAAATATGTATCTGCAAACACTTCTCTCCATTTCCACAACTACCCACAGCCCACTGTGGAACCACTGGCCCTTTGAAAAAAATCCCAGAGGTGGCTTTGGCTTTTTGGCTAGGAGGCCTAAACCTGCTGAGAACTTTCCTGCCCAGGATCCTGTGTGAACAAAAGTGCCTCTGCTGGGAGCTGGGATCCTTGGGACCATGCTTGCTAGTGCTGGATGAGTCTCTGGAAGGAAGCATGGGACTCCGCAAAGCTGACTTCTCCCACTGAGGTCAAATGGATACCTCTGCATTGGCCCAAGGCCTCCAACTTACATCACCGTCATCATCACTGTCAGCATCCTTGTGAGCCTGCCCAAGGGCCCGACTCCAGGGAGACTCTTGGGAGCCCTGCCGTCCTCAGCTAAAGTCCAAAGGGATGGCGACTTCCACTCACAAGGTCCCCACTGAACTGCAAAGATGTGGAGCATAGGTCAGAGAGGGGACCAGGAGGGAAGGCGTCCTGACAGGCGATGAGTTCCCTAGGCTCTGGCCACCCCACTCACGTCCCACGTCCCGGGCACCCGTGGGACACCGCCGCTTTATCACCTCCTTTGTCCACAGCTGGCCCCACCCCATCCTGTAACCCAGGCACACACGCTGGAGGTTATAAAACCACATGGCGTTAATAGAGCCTGACCGAGGGAGAGCTCATTTCACGAGGCAGAGGGGTGCGGTGGGGTGGGGTGGGGGTTGGGGGGTCTGTAGAAAGCCTGATTCTCCCTCGTGGGTGGCTACAGGATGCAAATGAATATCGCTTCTTGGGCGGAGGGGCTTCCTTAGGCCATCACGTTTGCGGGGCTATCTCTCAAACCCTTCCTTGAGGCCACAGAATAGATTCCACCACACCCCTCCACCTTTCCCCAGGTGCTGGATGTATCCTGTCAAGAGACCTGAGCCTGACACATTGAGTTAAACACCTTTATTGTCTTTGTGTGTTTGTTTGTTTCTGAGATGGAGTCTTGTTCTGTACCCCCCGGCTGGAGTGCAGTGGCGTGATGTCAGCTCACTGCAACCTCTGCCTCCTGGGTTCCAGCGATTCTTCTGCCTCAGTGACACCATGCCCGGCTCATTTTTTATTTTTAGTAGACATGGGGTTTGACCCTGTTTCATCGGTTTTCACTGGAGATTCTAGATTCGAGTCACACCTCATTGTGTGTCACATCATGACTTCTTTTTTTTTTTTAAGCAAAATATATCTGCTTTATTTGAGTGGCTTTGTGTATCATTATAATTGTGTTATAGATGAAGAAAAGGTATTAAACACAGTGATAATGATAATGAAAGTGAAAACAAAAGAAAGTCTATCTATTTTGTAGTTAGAATAAAGTTGCTCAGTATTTAGAGTTACCTAAATAAGTCAGCATTTAAACTTCTCCTAGTAAAAGCTTGCCGATCTGAATAATCCTCCTTTAAACACAATTTTTGATATGGTTAAGTTTTTTAAGAATGCGCCTCTTGCAAAATAGCTGAACAGACAATACACATTTAAAAAAGAACAACACAAGGATCAACCAGACTTGAGAAAAAATCAAAAACAACACAAGTCTTATGAAGAACTGAGTTCTTAAAATATTACGGAGAACATAGCTATCGGAAGAGAAGGCAGTATTGGCAAGTTGATTGTTACATTGGTTAGCAAAAGCTAGCACTTTTTTTGGCAATCTTTCAGGCACTGCAACTACTACTGTAAAATGAGATATAATCCATTAAACAACATATTCACAAATCAAAAAATGTTTTAGTAATATAATGCTTCAGATTTAGAAGGAAATCAAGTGATAAACCACTGCTATAATAATTAACCCCAAAGATAACCGTATCTGACAAAAACTACCACAGAGTTATGACTTCAGAATTATACTTTCTCTTGATATTTATTTATTTATTTATTTTATTGTATTTTTTTTTCTTGAGACAGCGTCTCACTCTGTGGCCCAGGCTGGAGTGCAATGGCATAATCTTGGCTCACTGCAACATCCACTTCCTGGGTTCAAGCGATTCTCCTGCCTCAGCCTCCTGAGTAGCTGAGACTACAGGCACCTACCACCATGCCCAGCTAATTTTTATACTTTTAATAGAGATGGGGTTTCACCATGTTGGCCAGGATGGTCTTGATCTCTTGACCTTGTGAGCCACCCGCCTCGGCCTCCCAAAGTGCTGGGATGACAGGCATGAGCCACCGTGCCTGGCATTCTCTTGATATTTAAGCTTTTAAGTCAGTCCAGAAAAAATACAATAAATGTCAACAGTAAGTATGGTGTTGAGGCAGAAGTAGGATCAAAATTTTTCATGTTATTCAGTTGATAACAATATGACCTGGTAGTAATTTCCTATGTGTCTACTTATACCCAAGTACAAAAAAGTAAAATAGAGATACTGCTAAATAAAAGGGTACACTAAGTTCTTAATAGTAACTCAATAAACTGGAACACTGTCAAAAAGCAGCAACTAGTGATTTTTTTCAGTGTTTTTTTCTATTACCCAGTAAGTGAATTATGCTATTCCTTTCCAATTTCCCAAGCACTTTTTGTCCCAATCACCATTTCTGTGTTCGAAGAAAAAGTAGCAAATCAATTAACAAAACTAAACAAGCAAACAAACAAAACCCAACTACGGTATCTGCAAAAGTTTGGTAGAAGACTGAAAATGTTGAGTGTAAGGATCTGGTATTCTATTATCATTAGTTAACTTAAGAGTTTGTTAAAGACATTCATTTCATAAGAAAACATGTTAGTTTGAAGTTATTGAACAGTATGTATCACCCCTAAGTATTAGTAACCACATTCATGACAATAAAGAGCTATCTAACAAAAAAAATTATTGACTACCAGCACCATCAACAAGACTTTGTCTTTACACTTCATTACCACTTACCATATATTATAATGTCTAGGATTGACTCTGATAGTATTTCAAAAACAAGCTAATGCTTTGTCCATTCTTCAGTTAAGACAAACTCATGCCCTAATAGAGTATAGGCATAAGCATAATTTGGATCCACTTGGATAGCTCTCTGGAAGAATTTAATTGCAATATCGTGTTCCTGTTGCAGACTAAAACAGTTCCCTGCAGCACACCAGGCCTCTGGTGAATTTTTATCCATGTCTGTTAAGTCTTTTGACAGAACTGAAAGAGCAACATGTTTTTGAAGATGCCAAAGTGTTGTAGAGTAGATTTCCATGGCTTTGACTCTATAATTCTCAATCCTTCTAACCTCTGAGAATATTCTTTCAGCTTGCATGTACACTGAAAGTTCAAAATAGACCCTTCCAATTTGGCACAGTACGCAACCAGAATTGTAGTGGTGAGAAGGTAGATGGCTCAAAATATTTATAGCTTCTTTGCAGTGGTATGAACACAAAGCTAAATAACCTTTCCCCTTTTCAGGAAGAAGCCTCATCAAGCCTTCTGCTGCTGCTTTTTGTAGATTAATGCCTGAATCTCAGGTGTGATTGTGGATATTTTCCCTTCTGAGTTGATGGAAGAGTCCATTTTTGTAATTTCCAGGCTGTCATTTATATTAGGCTGAGATATTCCTCCTTTATTTGTTTCACTTTTTGTTTTTCTGTTTGGGATTTTAAGTGGAAACTTCATTTTTAATTTCTTCCTATTCTTCTTGGTTGTGGAACTGTCACTAGTAAAGAGTTGTGAACTTTTTTGATGCAGTGCATTTGGGGGAGATGTCATAGTGGGGCTCAATACCTGAGGTGTTGTACTTGTTTAGGGACCAGGACTTTCTGTTTGTGAAAGAATTGGAGTTACCTCTCGGCTATTTCCACTCTGTGAGAAGACAGATTTTGCTGCAGTTTGGCCGATTCTGGCAACAGATTTTTTGAAGGGTCTCCGGTGGATGACACATCAATTACAGAAGGTGTATCAGTGTAGTTTTGGAAATAGGATCCATCTCAAGGACTTGGGGTTTCTAATGGCAAAATCCCAGAACTTGGGGTTAATGGACTAAGAGCTGCTGGTCCTCTTAATAAACTTCGACCAGTTTTTGGTTTATTTTGAACCTGTTTAGATAATATGGAAGTTCCTATTCCCAGTGGGACAGTATCAGGTGAAATTACAGCTGAATCAATAGAAGACACTGGGGAATCTGTGTTCAAGGAATACTTTGAATTGGAAGATTCTAAATTCAATCTGTTTAATTCAGTTGTGTCCTGGGGTGTTTCCGTAAGAAAGGTCTCAGGCTGTTTGTGACATAAACTATGATTAGGTACTTGTGTTGTGCAAGAGTTGGGCAGACAGTTGCTAAAGTTCTGTAAAGATGTGAATTTAAATGTTTGGTCAGGATATGGATTTTCATCTATTTCACATAATGATTCAAGGGATACCAGATGAAAGGATTTAAACTAAGGCTCTTTTGGTAGTATTCTGATCCTTTGACAAGCCGATCTGTCTTGCAATATACATGTCCCAACAATGGAAGGGGAAAGCAAGCTGAATCACCAAACTTGGTAACAATATCATCATGGCTTTTCTGCTTATGAAACACCCCACCAGATAAGATTTGTTCCCCTTCTGCAAGCTTGCTGAGATCAACACAACATTTTGCAAGCAGGTATTTGCATTGCGGTGTAGGAAAACTGTGTACTTTGAAGAGACTATATGCGTTATAGGCCTTTCCTGGGTAGTAAGAACAGGTCGCCAGTAAAAACAAGGCTTCTTCTGAGTGTACTTCTGCATAAAGGCATTCTGCGGGGAAAACCCCATCTAGGTAAGCATAGTGGTTTAGTGCTTCCCATATAGCAGGCTGGACGGGTTCCTGCAGCACCGTCATCCTCGAGGCTCAGACCCAATTTCTGCAGTGCCTCAGGTACCCCTTCCACCCCTCCCACCTCCCTCCCCTCAATAGCGTCTCCGGCCCGGCCAGCCTGGGCTCATTTAAACTCACCAGTTTTGTGGGTTGCCTGTTCACTCTGATGGTAGTTTCTTTTGCTGTACAGAAGCTCTTTAGTTTAATTAGATCCCATTTGTCAATTTTGGCTTTTGTTGCCATTGCTTTTGGTGTTTTAGACATGAAGTCCTTGCCCAGGCCTATGTCCTGAAAGGTAATACCTAGGTTTTCTTCTAGTGTTTTTATGGTTTCAGGTCTAACATTTAAGTCTTTAATCCATCTTGAATTGATTTTTGTATAAGGTGTAAGGAAGAGATCCAGTTTCAGCTTTCTACATATGGCTAGCCAGTTTTCCCAGGACCATTTATTAAATAGGGAATCCTTTCCCCATTGCTTGTTTTTCTCAGGTTTGTCAAAGATCAGATAGTTGTAGATTTGTGGCATTATTTCTGAGGGCTCTGTTCTGTTCCATTGATCTATATCTCTGTTTTGGTAACAGTACCATGCTGTTTTGGTTACTGTAGTCTTGTAGTATAGTTTGAAGTCAGGTAGTGTGATGCCTCCAGCTTTGTTCTTTCGGCTTAGGATTGACTTGGAGATGTAGGCTCTTTTTTGGTCCATATGAACTTTAAAGTAGCTTTTTCCAATTCTGTGAAGAAAGTCATTGGTAGCTTGATGGGGATGGCAAAGGGATCTAGAACTAGAAATACCATTTGACCCAGCCATCGCATTACTGGGTATATACCCAAAGGACTATAAATCATGCTGCTATAAAGACACATACACATGTATGTTTATTGTGGCACTATTCACAATAGCAAAGACTTGGAACCAATTCAAATGTCCAACTATGATAGACTGGATTAAGAAAATGTGACACATATACACCGTGGAATACTATGCAGCCATAAAAAATGATGAGTTCATGTCCTTTGTAGGGACATGGATGAAATTGGAAATCATCATTCTCAGTAAACTATCACAAGGACAAAAAACCAAACACCACATGTTCTCACTCATAGGTGGGTATTGAACAATGAGAACACATGGACACAGGAAGGGGAACATCACACTCTGGGAACTGTTGTGGGGTGGGGGAGGGGGGCAGGGATAGCATTAGGAGATAATATGTAGTGTTAGATGACGAGTTAATGGGTGTAGCACACCAGCATGGCACATGTATACATATGTAACTAACCTGCACATTGTGCGCATGTCCCCTAAAATTTAAAGTATAATAATAATAATAATAATAAATAAACTCACCAGTTACCAGGGGATGGGGGAGGCCAAGCCAGAATGACTTCTTTACCCTGCCAACTCTGGGAAGCCCAGCCCCTTGTGATCCATTGCAAAGCAAGAGTCACCTCATATTTGGAAAACGAATGCACTCCCAAGTTCAGTGGAGGGATGTGGCATGTAGGATGAAGGACTCTCTTCCTTCTGATTTGGTCTGCATAGTGGGGCCTAGGGCTGGAGCTCTCTCTGTGCGGACTGCTGACTCCCTCTACCTTGGGTTCCATTGGCCCCAGCCTGGGACATGGGCCTTGGCAGATTCTGGCCCTTCCTGGCCCTTACGTCGCTGTCAGAAACCCCATCTTGTGCTCGGATGCCCCAGTGACTGTGGCTCGTGCCTTTCTGGAAACACTGGAAATCTCTCCTCTATGCATGGTCACCTAAAACCCCAGGAGCTCAGGACACAGGGCCGCCATCCACCTCACTGCTTTCAGAAGAGAATGCTGAGAGTCTCTTACAGACTCTCTCTTGACTTGAGTTCTTCATGGGTGTGTGGTTAAGATGTAGTGAGACCAGATGTATTAACTCAGGCGGGGTGCTGGTGGCTCACGTCTGTACTCCCAACATTTTGGGAGGCTGAGGCTGTAGGATCCCTTGAGGAATTGCCTAACCCTGAGGACGTTGAGGCTGCAGTGAGTGAGCCATAATGGTGTCACTGCACTCCAGTCTCGGCAAAAGACAGAGTGAGGCCCTGTCACAGGCCGGCAGGCAGGCAGGCAGAAAGACAACAGCTGTATTATGTTCTTCTCAGGGTAGGAAGTAAAAATTACAGAATACAGCACTTATTTTATTTTTTTTGGACAGTTTCACTCTTGTTGCCCACGCTGGAGTGCAAGGGCACCGTCATGGCTCACCGCAACCTCCTCCTGCCATGTTCAAGCAATTCTCCTGCTTCAGCCTCCTGAGTAGCTGGGATTACCGGCGTGTGCCACCACACCCGGCTGATTTTGTATTGTTAGTAGAGACGACATTTCTCTATGTGGGTCATGCGGGTCTCAAACTGGCAACCTCAGGTGATCTGCCCACCTTGGCCTCCCAAAGTGCTGGGATGACAGGAGTGAACAATTGCGCCCGCCCGGCTATGTTTTTTTTTTTTAATTTTCAATTTTAATCTATTTAATCTTCTTATTATTTTTTGAGATGGAGTCTCGCTCTCTTGCCCAGACTGGAGTGCAGTGGCATGATGTCGGCTCACTGCAAGCTCTGCCTCCCGGGTTCATGCCATTCTCCTGTCTCAGCCTCCCAAGTAGCTGGGACTACAGGCGCCCGCCACCACACCTGGCTAACTTTTTGTATTTTGAGTAGAGACGGGGTTCTTGTGGTAGCCAGGATGGTCTCTATCTCCTGACCTCCGTGATCCACCCGCCTCGGCCTCCCAAAGTGCTGGGATTACAGGCGTGAGCCACCGCGCCCGGCCTATTTATCTATTTATTAACTTTGTGTCCAGGTTAGGAAACCACGTAGTTTTTGTATTTTTTTAGAGACGAGATTTCACCATGTTGCCAAGGCTCCGGATCGAGGGATCCACCTTCCCTTGCTCCCAAAGGGCAGGGATGACAGGCGTGAGCCTACCGCGCCCGGCTCCCCCTTCCCCCCTCCAGCTTATCCCTCAGGTGCCTGAGGCCCAGCAGTGCTGTGTGGTTCCCACCCCCAGCGCCCCCTCCTCCAGTCACCGCCGCGGTGTCTGCAAATGGGTCCTAAGGGAGCTCGTTGGTGTGGGGGTTGAGGCGGTAGATGGAGACGTGCCCCTCCCATGCAGGGAAGGGCTCCGCCTGGTCTGGCGAACTCAGGTCCAGTGCTCCCCTCTGGTGGGTGCGCGCTGGCTGTGTGAGCGATCGCGGTGGGCTCGGGCAGGCGACGCGTGCGCCGGCCGGCCGCCGAGGGGGCTACCGTTCTGCCTCCGACAGGTTGTGTGTGGGTTTACTTGGAGGTGCTTTGCCTGGGAGAAAGGAGGCGGGTGGACGGGGCGGGGGCCCTTGCGGGATTGCGCGCACGCGCAGTGGTCAGGACCCCCGCCCAGACTGCGACGGCTCAAGGTTCCCACACGCAGAATTTTCCTGGTATGCAGGCCCCCTCCCTTCCCCAGGCGTCCCTGAGCACCTCTGCGGGCCTGACGAGGGGCGACTGGGGGTAGGGAGTGTGACCCACCCTCAGTGAGAAAGCCTTCTGTAGCGATCCAAGAGGTGTGCATTTGGGGTACGGGATCCCCCGGCCTGCCGCCTCTCTCTGCGTTATGGTAGCGCTGCCATAGCGACTCGCTTGCAGAGGACCCTCCTCCGCTTCCCCCTCGACGGGGTGAGGGGGGGAGATGGAGGGTTCCACAGGCCTCCGCGGTGGGGACTGGGGGCGGCTCATCCTTTCCAGATGGGGGAGGATCCCAGCGGTCGGTGCCGGCGTCCTAGCGGTTGGGAGGCTATGCAAGCGGTGGCTGTGCCTGGCATTCCGTCCGGCGCATGACCCGCTCCACTGTGAGCCGGCTCTCCGCCCGCTCGCCTGGGGAGCAGCGACTGGTGCCGATGACCGTGTTTGCGTGGCACGGGGTTGGGCCACCTGGCCCTGGGAAGCATCCCAAGTGGGGGCCACGCCGGTCTCCCGGAGCTTAACCGGGTGGGAGGATGGACGAGAAATGAGCAACGTGGCCCTGGCGTTGGGTTTGTGGCTGAGGTCGCTTTGGGGTCCCGATGGCGGGAACCAGGGCTCGTGAGGCGGGTCTCGGTGGGTGCCGAGGGCCATCTGGCGTCCTAGGCGGGCTGCCGAGGGACCTCCCTCGTGTCTGTGGTGGTGGGATCCCATGGTCGCGTTTTCCTGGTGGCCCGGCCATGCCTGAGGTTTCTCCCCGAGCCGCCCCTCTGTGGGCTCCCGGGTGACCTTGCCCTCGCGGTCCCTGGTGTTTCCTGTCTGTGACCCCCACCCCACCCGCGGATCCTCTCTCCCTGAGCGGCTCACCCGCTTAGGCTGTGGTGGCCCCCTCTGGGACCAAACCCAGCTCTGCCTTGTGGGGCGCTGCCGGGGGCCACTGGTTGGCCCTTTGTTCGTGTCCCCGGGTGTGCACCTTCGGGACCAGGTGGGCGGCGCCCCGCGTGGGCCTGGTGGGCGCCCGGAGGGTTTGGAGTCAGCCTGCGGCGCGTGCAGGAAAGAGGGTTCCGGGGGCTGGCCGTGACGGCGGCGGCGATGGGGGAGCCGCAGGCCCGCCGAAGGCCAGTCGACCACTCCTGGTACCGCGCAGGGTCGCCTTCGTGCTCGGAGGCCGCTGGTGGTGAGACCCTGGGCACTGCAGTCCGCCTGTGGTTCGCTGCCCAAACGTTGGGGCCGCCCCGTGCCGGCCTTGCACGAGTGGCTGCTGGTCACTCACAGCTGCCACGCACGGGTCGGGTGGTCTGCCTCCTCGCACGTTGGTGCGAAGGGTTCGGAGTGGTGAGCAGGTCGGGGGATGTTGTGTCATGTGGGTGTATGGGATGTCCGGTTTGCCCCACCACCACCCCCCTCCCACCGCCCCACGTTGCTTCCCTCCCTCCCACATACCCCGTTGCCTTCCCTGCCATGCCCATCCTCACGACTTGGACTCCTGGCTCATCCTCGTGAGGCCCGGAGGCCGCTTTCTACCTACATGGTTGATCCTACCAGAACCATATGCTTGTCTCAAAGATTAAGCCATACATGTCTAAGTACGCAGGGCCGGTCCAGTGAAACTGCAAATGGCTCATTAAATCAGTTATGGTTCTTTTGGTCACTCGCTCCTCTCCTAATTGGAAAACTGTGGTAATTCTAAATCTAATACATGCCAAAGGGCGCTGACCCCCTTCGCGGGGAAGATGCGTGCATTTATCAGATCAAAACCAACCCAGTCAGCCCCTCTCCAGCCCCGGCCGGAGGGTCAGGTGCCACCAGCTTTTGTGACACTAGATAACCTCAGGCCAATGGCATGCCCCCAGTGGCAGCGACGACCCATTCAAAAATCTGCCTTATCAACTTTCGATGGTAGTTGCTGTGCCTACCACGGTGACCATGGGTGATGGGGAATCAGGGTTCCACTCTGAAGAGGGAGCCTGAGAAACAGCTACCACATTCAAGGAAGGCAGCAGGTGCAAAAATTACCCACTCCCGACCGGGGGAGGTACTGATGAAAAATAACAATACAGGACTCTTTCGAGGCCCTGTAATTGAAATGAGTCTACTTTAAATCCTTTAGGAGGATCCATTGGAGGGCAAGTCTGGTGCCAGCAGCCACAGTAATTCCAGCTCCAATAGCATATATTAAAGTTGTTAAAAAGCCCGTAGTTAGATCTTGGGAGTGGGCGGGCAGGCTAGCCATGGACCGTCCCCGCCCCTTGCCTCTCAGCACCCCCTCGATGTTCTTAGCTGAGTGTCCCGTGGCCCAAAGCGTTTACTTTGAAAAAGTTAGACTGTTCAAAGCAGGCCTGAGCCACCTAGATATCTCAGCTAGGAATGATGGAATAGAACCGCCATTCTTTTTTGTTGGTTTTCAGGACTGAGGCCATGATTAAGAGGGATGGCTGGGGGCATTCGTATTGTGCCACTAGAGGTGAAATTCTTGGACTGGTGCAGTTCGGACCAGAGCTAAAGCATTTGCCAAGAATGTTTTCATTAACCAAGAACGAAAGTCGGAGTTTCGAAGACGATCAGATACCGTCGTTGTTCCGACCATAAACGATGCCAACTGGTGATGCAGCGGTGTTATTTCCATGACCCGCTGGGCAGCTTCCCAGAAACCAAAGTCTTTGGGTTTTTGGGTTCCCAGGCGAGTATGGTTGCAAAGCTGAAACTTAAAGGAATTGGTGGAAGGGCACCACCAGGAGTGGAGCCTGCAGCTTAATTTGACTCAATATGGGAAACCTCACCCGGCCCGGACATGGACAGGATTGACAGATTGATAGGTCTTTCTTGATTCCATGGGTGGTGGTGCATGGCCTTAGTTGGTGGAGTGATTTGTCTGGTTAATTCCGATAATGAAGGAGACTCTGGCATGCTAACTAGTTACGCGACCCCCAAGCGGTCAGCATCCCCCAACTTCTTAGAGGGATAAGTGGCATTTAGCCACCCGAGATTGAGAAATAACACGTCTGTGATGCCCTTAGATGTCTGGGGCTGCACGCACGCTACAGTGACTGGCTCAGCGTGTGCCTACCCTACGTGGCAGACGCGGGTAACCTGTTGAACACCATTGGTGATGGTGATCGGGGATTGCAATTATTCCCCATGAATGACGAATTCCCAGTAAGTGTGGGTCATAGGCTTGCGTGAAGTCCCTACCCTTTGTACACACTGCCAGTCGCTACTACTGATTGGATGGTTTAGTGAGGCCCTTGGATCGGCCCCGCCGGGTCAGCCCACTGCCCTGGTGGAGCACTGAGAAGACAGTCGAACTTGACTATCTAGAGGAAGTAAAAGTCATAACAAAATTTCCATAGTTGAACCTGTCGAGGGATCATTAACGGAGAAGAGCAAAGCTGCAGAGGCGCTACTGCGTCCTTCCTTCTTGGCCGACTGTGTTCCCCATGCGGCACGTGTGCTGGCGGGGTTGTGCCATTTGTTTGTTGCATGGCCCCGCCTGCCCCGAGAGCCAGAGAACTCGGGAGGGAGAGAGAGGGTAGAGAGAGACACACGTGCGGGGATGAAACTGTGTGTGCGAGTCGGGGGGCGGGCTGGATGGCTCACCGGCCTGGTGAGCAGCGGGGAACTGTCCCCTGCCGTGGCCCCCACATGTGTGTCGGCGGGCGTGGGGGTGGTTCTTGGCATCACGACGAGTTGTGGGTCTCTGTGTCCTCTCCGCCGGGGCTGTCATCCCTCCCTGTCCTGCCGGCTCGGCCCCATCCCACCTGCTCCCATTGGGGCCGGCCAGGTTCGCATCGCTGCCACTGCCACCATCATCGCATCTGCCACACCGCTCCACCTGGCCCGGCCTGGCCCACTGGCTCTCCCCAGCCTTCCCACTAGGGCTTCTCGAGGGTAGGGGGCTGGACGCCAGCCCCCACTCCTTGTCCGCCTCCACCATCCAGGTACCCAGCTCGTTCTGGTGCGGAGGTTTAAGGACCCCTTGGGGGGGGTCATCAGTCCACCCGTGGGTTGGGTGCTGTGGGCCCACGGGGGAGTCCATTTGGGAGGGGTCTGCCCCTCCCTCACCTCCACTGCTGACTCCGTCTCCCCAGCTGCCGGGGCCGCGCTGCACTTGCATGTCGCCGCTGATGCCGGTGGGGGCTGTACACAGTGGCCATCGTGCTGTCGCATGTGTGCCACGCATGTGGCGTATGCCCTGTGCTGTGGGGGCAGGAACCCCAGGGAGCCCGTGGGGTGGTGTCAGCATTTGTCCCTCCCACCCCCATGGACGGCACCACCTCCCCATGTTGTGAAACCTTCCAACCCCTCTCTGGAGTCTCGTCCCATTGCTGTCTGACTGGCCGGCCTGAGGTAACCCCTCTGGGGGACGTGCTGTGCCAGGAGGGCCTCCCATTGTTGGGAGCGCCCTTGCCAAATTGACCTTGTATGACTTTTAGCGGTGGATCACTCGGCTCCTGCGTTGATGAAGAATGCAGCTAGCTGTGAGAATTAATGTGAATTGCAGGACACATTGATCATCGACACTTCGAACGCACTTGCGGCCCGGGTTCCTCCCAGGGCTATGCCTGTCTGAGCTTTGCTTGCCAATCATTAGCCCCTGAGGGTGCCCCCAGGCTCCCTGGGGTGCACGGCTGGGGGTTCCATGGCAGGGCCCACTGGGGACCTCCATCCCCCCAAGTGCAGACCCGGCGACATCCGCCCTCCTCTCCTGCCATGCCTGCCCCTTCCCCCCCACCCCCACCACAGGTCCTGTGTGGTCACGGGTTGGGTGGTGTGGGGAAGAGGGGCTCCTGGCTGTGAGGAAGAGAGAGAGAGTGGAGCCATCACCTGCAAAAACAGAGAGGGAAGAGAGCCCACTGGGGTCGAGTTCCTGTGGCCACCACCACGGTCCTGTTTCTTCCCTCGGGGGCTCCCTCCTGCCTCACACAGCTCGTAGTGCAGGGTTTGTTGGTGCTGGTGGGGTGGATGGTCCTGTGCCATCATTGTCGTTGCGCATCATCGGTGGTGGGGGCTTGTTGGGCGGGGAGGATGGCAAGTAGGAAGGGTCCACTGGGGAGAGGGTGGGGGAGCGTGTCCCAGTTGCCGCAATTTGCTGCCCACCCCTGGTGGCAGCCCGGCGACTGGCCGACCGCCGCTCCAGTGCCCCTCCTCCCCATCACCCCTCCCAGGCACCGTCCTCTTCTCCTGCCTGCCCCCCACCTGCCTGGCTTGTGACGCGGTGTGTCCGGGGCCAGAAGCCCACCAAGCGGCCCATCTGGCAGCGTTCATGGCCATGGTCCCGGGGTTCGTTTGCCCCTGGTGATGGTCCCCTGGATGCTACAGTGTCATATGCCATCAGGTGCCCACCTCCTGCTCTTGGCTGCGCGGTGCCTGGCGCCCCGTCCAGAGCTTTGATGTCAGGGCGGAATGGTGCTGCCACATCCTTGGACCCGTCCCCCACCTACATTTAGTACATAGGCAATCCCATGTAACTTATCAAAGCTAGCAAGTCCCTAGACTTGGTGCAGCCACTGTAGGGGTGGCCTCCCAGTAGCATCATTAACATCAATTGTAATTGGTAGGCAATCACTTAGTTTCACATTTCATTACCTGAGTTATACAAATGTGTAAAAAAATACAGTTTTAATAAAAGGGAGTAAAGGATAATAAGAGTAATATTCACAATCTCTAGTTGGAAGATGTAGTGTTTTCTCACAAATGATGCATTCCTGGAGCAAGGTCATTTTGTGTTTGGTTTGTTAAATATCTATTTCCTTTTTGACAAACCACTGGAAAATCCCAGCTTCACAAGAACTCTCCATGAGAACGATCACAGAAAAGAACACCCATAACACAAAATCAAAACAAGGGTGCTCCGGGATTCACATTAAAGACTCATTACCAAGTTTTCTTAGAAGAGATAAAGTACACAAAGTTACTTTTGTGTGACGGAAAACAGAGAAAAAGAGTAAATAGAAAAATAAATGTTATGCAACATCAGTGAAAACCAAGCTGTGGAAAAAAATGAATGGAATTGTTTTGTTTGCTATTGATTTCCTATCCTGATATCAGAAAGTACAGGAAAGAACAAAGCACATTTTTTTGAGACAAATAGAACATAAAACAGATGAATGTTAAAAACTATTTTACAGTGCTAACAAAACTATCTGTGACTTGTTTTTTCCCTTTAAAAATTCGATTTTGCACAATTACATTTATATAAATTATTGAAATAAAATTGTAAAGATGGAGAACAGACTATGGGGTTGCCAAGCGGAAGGGGTGGAGGAAAACGTGTCAGAGTGTCAGCAAAGATTGCAAGTTGGAACCTGGTGGTGAGGCTACGGTTCTGTATCTTGACTGTGGAAGTGGTAGTTACAGAGATCTACACCACATAAAAATGCACAGAACACACTCACACACATACACACATACAAAAATGAATGCATACAAAACGGTTGCGATCTGAGTAAGCTTTCTGAATTGTACCTATGTCAGTTTCCAGGTTTTGATAATGCTCTATGGCTATGGGAGATGCCACCACTGGAATTAGTGAAGAGTACCTAAGACATCCCTGTACATTTTGCAACTTCCTGTGAATCTATAGTTATTTCAAAAGAAACTTGAAAGTCATAGCAGACTTTCACTTCAAAGAGGAAAGAAACTGAAGATTAATGGAATTGTTGAAGAACATCAAATATGCAATAATCTGTATGAGAGCTGTATTCTGTCCATTCACAGCACAGCTGTCATTTAGCCTTTTCCTGACGTGCCCTGGAGGACTTGAGCTCCTCTTGGATTGTCAAGGCCAATAGTGTTTATTTGTTACTAAATTTGTACTGGACCACCAAAAAATGAAAATTGATTGAATAATCATTTATAATAACAACAAGTAATTTTACTTATAAAGAGACAATAATGGTAACAGATTTAAATCTTTAGGGTAAAGAATAGGATCTTTGTAAGACAATATTGGCAAAATTTAAAAAGAAAATTAAGGAATCAGGAACATAAGTAGTTCAGTATTGTGAAAAAATTCTTGATCTGAGAAGCAAAAGAACAGTATTTCTGTTTTGCGTTTCTGCTCCAAACCTGATGAATCACCTTAGGCAATGCATGCCCTTTCCCTGAATATGTTTTCTTTTCTGCAAAATAAAGTGAGATAGATCATCTCCAAGGTCCCCCAAATATTCACATTTTCGCCTCCACATGAACTTCAGTTGAATTCCTAATTTCAGTGTGGATAATACATGTGTGCTGCACCACAAGCAGTATGTCTAAACTCTCATGTTGGTCCTAAAAACTAATTATGAACAGTTTGGAAATTCTGTTGTTGTAGAATCAGCAAAGGGATATTTGTGAGCGCTTTGAGGCCATGGTGAAAAAGGAAATACCTTCACATAAAAACTCTAAAGAAGGTTTGGGAGAAACTGCTTTGTGATGTCTGCATTCATCTCACAGAGTTAAACGTTTCATTCCTTTGATAAGTCTGGAAACTCAGTTCTTGTACAATCTGCAAAGTGATATTTGTGAGTGCTTTGAGGTCTATGGTGAAAAAGGAAATATCTTCACATAAAAACTAGACAGAAGCTTTCTGAAAAACTACTTTGTGACATGTGCATTCATCTCACAGAGTTAAACCATTCTTTTGATTGAAAAGCTTGGAAATGGTGTTCTTGCAGAATCTGCAGAGGGATATTTGTGAGTGCTTTGAGGCCTATGGTGAAAAAGGAAATATCTTCACATAAAAACTAGAAAGAAGGATTATGAGAAACTGCTTTGTGATGTGTGCATTCATCTCACAGAGGTAAAGGCTTCTTTTCATTGAGCAGATTGGAAACTCTGTTCTTGTAGGATCCACAAAGGGGTATTTGTGAGCAGTTTGAGGCCTATCGTGAAAAAGGAAATATCATCCCATAAAAACTTGACAGAAGTTTCTGAGAAACTTCCTGTTTGTGTGTGCATTCTTTGGATTGGGCAGTTTGGAAACAGTATTTTTGTAGAATTGTCAAAGAGATATTTGTGAGCACATGGAAGCCAATGGTGAAAAAGGAAATATCTTCACATAAAAACTAGAGAGAAGCTTTCTGAGAAACTGTTTTGTGATGTGTGCATTCATCTCAGAGTTGAACCATTCTTTTGATTGAGTAGTTTGGTAACAGTCTTTTTGTAGAATCTGCAAAGGGATATTTGTGAGTGCTTTGAAGCCTATGGTGAAAAAGGAAATATCTTCACATAAAAAACTAGAAGGAAGGTTTTTGAGAAACTACTTTGTGATGTGTGAATGAATCTCACAGAGTTGAACCTTTCTATTGATTGAGCATTTTGGAAACAGTCTTTTTGAAGAATCTGCAAAGGGATATTTGTGAACACTTTGAGGCCTATGGTGAAAAAGTAAATATCTTCACATGAAAACTAGACAGAAGCTTTCTGAGACACATCTGTGTGATGTGTGCACTCATCTCACAGAGTTGAACCATTCCTTTGAGAAGTTCACCAACAGTCTTTTTGTAGAATATGCAAGGGGATATTTGTGAGTGCTTTGAGGCCTATGGTGAAAAAGAAAATATCTTCACATAAAAACTAGACAGAAGGTTTCTGAGAAACTGCTCTGCAATGTGTGCATTCATCTCACAGAGGTAAACGTTTCTTTTCATGTAGCAGATGGGAAGCTCTTTTCTTGTAGAATCTGCAAAGGGATATTTGTGAGCAGTTTGAGGCCTATGGTGAAAAAGGAAATATCATCGCATAAAAACGTGACAGAAGTTTCTGAGAAAATTCCTAGCTATGTGTGCATTCATCTCACAGAGTTGAATGATTCTTTTGATTAAGCAGTTTGGAAACAGTATTTTTGTAGAATCAGCAAAGGGATATTTTTCAGCTCTCTGAGCCTTATGGTGAAAAAGGAAATATCTTCAATAAAAACTATAAGAATGTTTCTGAGAAGCTGTTTTGCAAGGTGTGCATTCAACACAGAGAGATAAAAGTTTCTATTCTTTGATGAGTCTGGAAACTCTATTCTTGTAAAATCTGCAATGGGATATTTGTGAGAAGCTTGAGGCCTATGGTGAAAAAGGAAATATCTTCACATAAAAACTAGACAGAAGATTTCAGAGAAACTTCTTTGTGATATGTGCATTCATCTCAAAGAGTTGAACCATTCTTTTGAATGAGAAGTTTGGAAACAGTCTTTTCAGAGAATCTGCAAAGGCATATTTTGAGCGTGTTGATAGGTATGGTGAAAAGGGAAATATCTTCACAAAAAAACTGGACAGAAGCTTTCTGAGAAACTTATTTGTGATGTGTGCATTCATTTCACAGAGTTGAACCTTTCTTTTGATTGAGCAGTTTGGAAAGAGTCCTTTTCTATAATTTTCTAGAATCTGCAGAGGGATATATGTGAGCCCTTTATGGCCTAAGTTGAAATAGGAAATATATTCACATAGAAACTAGACAGAAGCATTCTGAGAAACTGCTTTGTGAAGTGTGCTTTCATCTCACAGTGTTGAACCTCCCTTTTGATTGAGGAGTCTGGAAACAGTCTTTCTGTAGAATATGCAAATGGATATTTGGAGCTCTTTGAGGCCTAAGGTGAAAAAGGAAATATCCTCACATAAAAACTAGACAGAAGCATTCTGAGAAACTTCTTTGTGATGTATACATTCATCTCACAGAGTTGAACCTTTCTTCTGATTGAGGAGTTTCAAAACAGTCCTTTTGTAGAATCTGCAAAGGGATATTTGTGAGCCCATTGAGGCCTACGGTGAAATAGGAAATATCTTCACATAAAAACTAGTCAGAAGATTTCTGAGAAACTTCTTTGTGATGTGTGTTTTCATCCCACAGAGTTGAACCTTTCTTTTGATTGAGCAGTTTGGAAACACACTTTTTGTAAAATCTGCAAATGGATATTTGAAGCACTTTGAGGACTATGGTGAAAAAGGAAATATCTTCACATAAAAACTAGAAAGCAACATTCTATGAAACTTCTTTGTGATGTGTTCTTTCATCTCACAGAGTTGAACCTTTCTATTCATTGAGGAGATCAGAAACCATCTTTTTGTAGAATCTGCATATGGATATTTGGAGCAGTTTGAAGACTTGCTGAGAAAGGAAATATCTTCACATAAAAACTAGACAGAAGCATTCTGAGAAACTTCTTGGTGACATGTGCATTTACCACACAGAGTTGAACCTTTCTTTTGATTGAACAGCTTGGAAACAATCTTTATATAGTATCTCCAGAGGGATGTTTGAGAGTGGTTTGAGGCTTATGGTGAAAAAGGAAATATATTCACATAAAAACTAGACAGAAGCTTTCTGAGAAACTTCTTTGTGATGTATGAATTCATCTCACAGTGTTGAATCTTTCATTGGATTGAGCAGTTTGGAAACAATCCTTTTGTAGAATCTGCAAAGGTATATTTCTGAGCCCATTGAGGTCTATGGTGAAATATGAAATATCTTCCCATAAAAACTAGACTGAAGGTTTCTAAGAAACTTCTTTGTGATCTGTGCTTCCATCTCACAGAGTTGAACCTCTCTTTTGATTGAGCAGTTTGGAAATACTCTTTTTGTAGAATCTGCAAATGGATATTTGGAGCACTTTGAGGCCCATGGTAAAAAAGGAAATATCTTCACATAAAAACTAAATGGAAGCTTTCTGAGAAACTTTTTTGTGATGTGTGCATTCATCTCACAGAGTTGAACAGTTCTTTTGATTGAGCAGTTAGAAATAGACTTTTCATAGAATCCACAAATGTATATTTGAAGCAGTTTTAGGTCTATGGTGAAAAAGGAAACTTTTCACATAAAAACTAGACAGAAGCATTCTGAGAAACTTCTTTGTGATGAGAGCTTTCATCTCACAGAGTTTAACCTTTCTTTTCATGGAGCAGTTTGGAAACAGTCTTTTTGTAGAATCTGCAAAGGGAATATTTGTGAGCCGTTTGAGGCATGTGGTGAAAAAGTAAATGCCTTCACATAAAAACTAGATAGATGTATTTTGAGAAACCTCTTGGACGTTTGAATTCATCTCACAGGGTTGAACCTTTCTTTTCATTGAACAGTTTGGAAACAGTCTTTTTGTACAATCTGCAAAGGGATATTTCTGAGCCATTTGAGGCTTATGGTGAAAAAGAAATATCTTCCCACAAAAACTAGACAGAAGCATTCTTAGAAACTACTTTGTGATGTGTCCATTCATCTCACGGAGTTGAAACTTTCTTTTGATTGAGCAGTTTGGTAACAGCATTTTTGTAGCATCTGCAAAGGTATATTTGTGAGCCCTTTATGGCCTAGGGTGAAATAGGAAATATCTTCATATAAAAACTAAACAGTAGCTTTCTGAGAAACTTCTCTGTGATTTATGCTTTCATCTCACAGAGTTGAACATTTCCTTCGATTAAGCAGGTTGGAAGCAGTGTTTTGTACAATCTGCAAATGGATATTTGGAGCCCTTTGAGGCCTATGGTGAAAAAGGAAATATCTTCACATAAAAATTAGATGGAAGCATTCTGAGAAACTTTTTGGTGACGTTTGTATTCATCTCACACAGTCGAACATTTCTTTGATTGAAGATTTGGAAACAGTCTTTTTGTAAAATCTACAAAGGGATAATTGTGAAGCCTTTGAGGCCTATGGTGAAGTAGGAAATATCTTCATATAAAAACTACACAGAAACATTCTGAGAAACTTTTTTGTGATGGGTGATATAGGAAATATCTTCACATAAAAGCTAGACAGACGCTTTCTGAGAAACTTCTTTTAAATGAGTGCTTTCATCTCAAGGAGTTGAGCACTTCTTTTGACTGAGCAGTTTGGAAAAACTCTTTTTGCAGAATCTGCAAATGGATAATTGAAGCGCTTTGAGGCCTATGGTGAAAAAGGAAATATCTTCACATAAAAACTAAACAGAAGCTTTCTGATAAACTACTTTGTAATGCATGCATTCATCTCACAGTGTTGAAACTTTTGATTGAGCAGTTTGTAAATGTCTTTTTGTAGAATCTGCAAATGGATATCTGTAGTGCTTTGAGGCCAAGAGGAAATATTTTCACAGAAAACCAGACAGAAGCATTCTGAGAAACATCCTTATGATGTGTTCTTTCTTCTCACAGAGTAGAAGCTTTCTTTTGATTCAGCAGATTGCAAACAGTCTTTTTGTACTATCTGCAGAGGGATATATCAGTGTTATCAGACCTATGGAGATAAAGAAATATCTTCACACAAAAACTAGACAGAAGCATTCTGAAAAACTTCTTCATAATGTGTGCATTCATCGCATGTATTTGAACCTTTCTTTTGATTAAGCTGTTTGGAAACAGTCCTTTTGTAGAACCTCAACAGTGCAAAGAGCCTTCTGAAACTTCCCGTTCTGAGGCTTCAGGGGTTTCAGAGGCTCCATGACGAAGTTTATGTTCAGGTGGTCGACAGCAACCTTGTGAGAAATTACTGGAGTTTTAAAGTTATCTATGAAGCAATCCTCCATGACAAGAAACTGGGCTTGGTGGCTAGTGAGAGGGAGACAGGACCTTTATTTTTTATGGAAAAAACAGCTGTCTCTGATATCTAGGGCAACCTGGTCTTTGACAGGGAGAAGACTAAAGAAATCAACTTGGTGATATGAAGAGTTCTCTCAACTCCTTAAATTTAAGGAGTCTACATACACTAGCTAGTAATCAACATAAGCATGGGACCAGAAATCAGTGAATCTAGCATTGAAAGACCAAAGGCCTCCAGTGAGTGGAAATACGAGATATATATATATATATACACACACACACATATATGTATATGTATATGTAGACACATATATACATATGTGAATCAATATCATGAAAATGACCATACTGCCCAAGGTAATTTACAGATTCAATGCCATCCCCATCAAGCTACCAATGCCTTTCTTCACAGAATTGGAAAAAACTACTTTAAAGTTCATATGGAAACAAAAAAGAGCCTGCAATGCCAAGTCAATCCTAAGCCAAAAGAACAAAGCTGGAGGCATCACGCTACCAGCCTTCAAACTATACTACAAGGCTACAGTAACCACAACAGCATGGTACTGGTACCGAAACAGAGATATAGATCAATGGAACAGAACAGAGGCCTCAGAAATAACGCCGCATATCTACAACTATCTGATCTTTGACAAACCTGAGAAAAACAAGCAATGGGGAAGGGATTCCCTATTTAATAAATGGTCCTGGGAAAACTGGCTAGCCATATGTAGAAAGCTGAAAATGGATCCCTTCCTTACATCTTATACAAAAATCAATTCAAGATGGATTAAATACTTAAACGTTAGACCTAAAACCATAAAAACCTTAGAAGAAAACCTAGGCATTACCATTCAGGACATAGGCGTGGGCAAGGACTTCATGTCTAAAACACCAAAAGCAATGGCAACAAAAGAAAAAATTGACAAACGGGATCTAATTAAACTAAAGAGCTTCTGCACAGCAAATGAAACTACCATCAGAGTGAACAGGCAACCTACAAAATGGGAGAAAATTTTCACAACCTACTCATCTGACAAAGGGCTAATATCCAGATTCTACAATGAACTCAAACAAATTTATAAGAAAAAAACAAACAACCCCATCAAAAAGTAGGCAAAGGACATGAACAGACACTTCTCAAAAGAAGACATTTATGCAGCCAAAAAACACATGAAAAAATGCTCACCATCACTGGCCATCAGAGAAATGCAAATCAAAACCATAATGAGATACCATCTCACACCAGTTAGAATGGCAATCATTAAAAAGTCAGGAAACAACGGGTGTGGAGAGGATGTGGAGAAATAGGAACACTTTTACACTGTTGGTGGGACTGTAAACTAGTTCAACCCTTGTGGAAGTCAGTGTGGCGATTCCTCAGGGATCTAGACCTAGAAATACCACTTGACCCAGCCATCCCATTACTGGGTATATACCCAAAGGACTATAAATCATGCTGCTATAAAGACACATGCACACGTATGTTTATTGCGGCATTATTCACAATAGCAAAGACTTGGAACTAACCCAAATGTCCAACAACGATAGACTGGATTAAGAAAATGTGGCACATATTCACCATGGAATACTACGTAGCCATAAAAAATGATGAGTTCATGTCCTTTGTAGGGACATGGATGAAATTGGAAATCATCATTCTCAGTAAACTATCGCAAGAACAAAAAACCAAACACCGCATATTCTCACTCATAGGTGGGAATTGAACAATGAGAACACATGGACACAGGAAGGGAAACATCACTCTGGGGACTGTTGTGGGGTGGGGAGAGGGGGTAGGGATAGCATTGGGAGATAGACCTAATGATAGCTGACGAGTTAGTGGGTGCAGCACACCAGCATGGCACATGTATACGTATGTAACTAACCTGCACAGTGTGCACATGTACCCTAAAACTTAAAGTATAATAATAAAAAAAAAAAATAAGAAAGAAAAAAAACATCCTTTTGCAGATTCTCCAAAAAGAATGTTTCCAAACTGCTCAATCAAAAGAAAGATTCAACTCTTTGAGATGCATACACCCATCATAAAGAAGTTTCCCAGAAAACATGAGTCTAGTTTTTATGTGAAGATATTTCCTTTTTCACCATAAGCCTCCAAGCGTTCACAAGTATCTCTTTGCAGCTTCTATGAAAAGACTGTTTCCAAACTGTTCAATCAAAAGAAAGTTTCAACACTGTGAGATGAATACACACATCAAAAAGAAGTTTTTCAGAAAGCTGCTGTCTACATTTTGTTTTTTGATATTTCCTTTTTCACCATAGGACTCAAACCGCTGAAACATATCACTTTTCAGATTCTACAAAAAGACGGTTTCCAAACTGCTGAATGAAAAGAAAGGTTCAACTCTCTGAGATGAATGCACACATCACAAAGAAGTTTCTCAGAATGCTTCTCTCTAGGTTTTATGTGAAGATATCTCCTTTTTCGCTGCAGACCTCAAACTGCTCATAAATATCCCTTTGCCTATTCTACAAAGACTGTTTCCAACTCGATAAGTCAAAAGAAAGTTTCAACTCTGTGAGATGAATGCACACATCAAAAGGAAGTTTCTCAGAAAGCTTCTGTCTAGTTTTTATGTGAAGATAATTCCTTTTTCACCATATGCCTCAAAATGCCTTCAAATATCCCTTTACAGATTCTACAAAAAGACTGTTTCCAAACTACTCAATCAAAACAAAGGTTAAACTCTGTGAGACCAATGCACACATCTCAGAGAAGTTTCTCAGAAAGTTTCTGTATAGTTTTTATGTAAAGATATTTGCTTTTTCACCATAGGCCTCAAAGAGCTCAAAAATGTCTCCTTACAGATTCTACAAAAAGACTGTTTTTGAACTGGTGAATAAAAACAAATGTTCAACTCTGTGAGATGAATGTACTCATCCTTAAGAAGTTTCTCAGAAAGCTTCTTTATAGGTTTAAGTGAAGATATTTCCTTTCTCACCATAAGACTGAAAGCTTTCACAGATATCACTTTGCAGATTGTACAAAAAGACTGTTTAAAAACTACTCAATCAAAACAAAAGTTCAACTACATGAGATGAATGCACACATCACAAAGAAGTTTCTCAGAAAGCTTCTGTTTATATTTTATTAGTAGATAATTCTTTTTTCACCATAGGTTTCAAACCACTCACAAATATTCCTTGCAGTTTCTAAAAAAGACTGTTTTCACACTACTCAATGAAAAGAGAGGTTCAACTCTGTGAGATGAACACACACATCACAAAGTAGTCTCTCAGAAAGCTTCTGTCTAGTTTTTATGTGAAGATAATTCCTTTTTCAAGACAGGCTTCAATGGGCTTACAACTATCCCTATGCAGATTCTACAAAAAGACTGTTTCCAAACTGCTCAATCAAAGCAAAGTTTCAAGTCTGTGAGATTAATACACACATCACAAAGAAGTTTCTCAGAACTTTACTATCTAGATTTTATTAGGGCATATTTCCTTTTTCACCATAGGCCTCAAGCCACTCCAAATATCCCTTGGCAGATCCTACAAAAATACTGTTTCCAAACTGCTCAATCAAAGGAAATTTTCAACTCTCTGTGATGAATGCACACATCAGAAAGAAGTTTCTCAGTAGATTTCTCTCTAGTTTTTATGTGAAGATATTTCCTTTGTCACCACAAGTCTCAAAGCGTTCACAAAAATCACTTTGCAGATTGTACAAAAAGACTTTTGCCAAACTGCTCAATGAAAAGAAAGGTTCAACTCTGTAACATGAAGGCATACATCATAAAGAAGTTTCTCAGAAGGCTTCTCTCTAGTTTTTATGTGAAGATATTTCCTTTCTCACCATAGGCCTCAAACCGTTCACAAATATCCCTCTGCAGATTCTAAATAAAGACTGTTTCCAAAGTGCTCAATCAAACGAAAGTTTCAATTCTGTGATACGAATGCACACATCCAAAGAAGTTTCTCAGAAATCTTCCATCTAGTTTTTATGTGAACATATTTCTTTTTCAGCATAGGGCTCAAACCACTCAAAAATATCCTTCTGTGGATTCAACAAAAAATCTGTTTCCAAACTGCTCAATCAAAGGAAATTTCAACTGTGTGAGATGAAAGCACACATCAAAAAGAAGTTTGTCAGAATTCTTCTGTCTAGTTTTTATGTGAAGGTATTTATTTTTCAGCATAGGCCTCAAATCACTCAGAAATATCCCATTGCAGAAAGTATAAGAAGACTGTTTCCAAACTGCTCAATGAAAAGAAAGGTTCAACTCTGTGACACGAATGCAAACATCAAAAAGAAGTTTCTCAAAAAGCTTCTAATTAGTTTTTATGTGAAGATATTTCCTTTATCACCATAGGCCTCAATCTACTCACAATATTTCTATGCAGATTGTACAAAAAGACTGTTTCCAAACTACTCAATCAAAAGGAAGTTTCAACTCTGTGAGATGAAATCAAACATCACAAAAGAAGATACTCAGAAAGCTTCTGTCTAGTTTTTATGTGAAGATATTTCCTATTTCACCATAGGCCTCAAAGGGCTCACAAATATCACTTCGCAGTTTCTAGGAAAAGACTGTTTCCAAACTGTTAAATCAAAAGAAAAGTTCAACACTGTGAAACGAATGTACACATCACAAAGAAGTTCCTCACAATGCTTCTATCCGGTTTTTATGTGAATATATCCTTTTCCTCAAGAGGCCTCAAACCGCACACGAATATCCCTCTACAGATCCTTCAAAAAGACTTTTTCCAAACTACTCAAACCAAACAAATGTTGAAATCTGTGAGATGAATGCACACATCATGAAGAAGTTTCTTAGAAAGATTTTGTCTAGTTTTTATGTGAAGATATTTCCTTGTTCACCATAGGCCTCAAAGTGCTCCAAATATCCAATTGCACATTCTGCTAAACGATTTTTTCCAAACTGCTCAATCAAAAGAAAGGTTCAACTCTATGAGATGAAAGCACACATCACAAAGAAGTTTCTCAGAAACATTGGTCTAGTTTTTATGTGAAGATATTTCCTTTTTCTCCATAGGCCTCAAATTGCTCAAAACTATCTATTTGCAGATTCTACAAAAAGATTGTTTCCAAACTGCTCAATCAAAAGAAAGGTTCAACTCTGTAATATGAAAGCACACATCACAAAGAAGTTTCTCAGAAAACTTCTGTCTGATTTTATGTGTAGATATTTCCTTTTTCAGAATAGGCCTCAATGGGCTCAGAATTATCCCTTGCAGATTCTACAAAAAGACTGTTTCAAAACTGTTCAATCAAAAGAAAGTTTCAACTCCGTGAGAGAAATTTTTTCACCACTGGCCTAAAAGTGCTACAAATATCTATTTGCATATTCTATGAATAGACTGTTTCCAAACTGCTCAATCAAAAGAAAGGTTCAACTCTGTGATATGAATGCACACATCTCAAATAATTTTCTTAGAAAGCTTCTGTCTAATTTTTATGGGAAGATATTCTTTTTCACCATGGGCCTCAAAGTGCTGCAAATATCCACTTGCATATTCTACAAAAAGACTGTTTCCAAACTGCTAAATCAAAGAAAAGTTCAACTGTGTGAGATAAATGCACACATCACAAAGAAGTTTATCAGAAAGCTTCTGTCTAGTTTTTATGTGAAGCCATTTCCTATTTCACCCTTGGCTCAATGTGCTCCAAATATCCATTTGCAGACTCTGCAAAAAGACTGTTTCCAAACTGCTCAATCAAAAGAAAGGTTCAACTCTGTGAGATTAAATAACACATCACAAAGAAGTTTCTCAGAAAGTTTCTGTCTAGCTTTTATGTGAAGATATTTCCCATTTCACCATAGACCTTAAAGGGCTCACAAATATCCCTTTCCAGATTCTATAAAAAAACAGCTTCCCAACTGCTCAATCAAAAGAAAGTTTCAACTCTGTGAGAGGAAAGCCCACATCCCAAAGAAGTTTCTCAGAAAGCTTCAGTCTAGTTTTTATGTGAAGATATTTCCCATTTCACCACAGGCCTCAATAGGTTCACAAATATCCCTTTGCATATTCCACAAAAAGACTGTTTCCAAACTGCTCAGTCAAAAGAAAGTTTTAACTCTGTAAGATGAGTGCACACATCACAAGAAGTTTATGAGAATGCTTCTGTCTAGTTTTTATGTGAAGATATTTCCTATTTCACCATAGGCCTCAAAGAGCTCGCAAATATCCCTTTGCAGATTTTATGAAAAGACTCTTTCCAAGCTCCCCTATCTAAAGAAAGTTTCAACTCTGTGAGATGAATGAACACATCACAAATAAGTTTCTCAGAATGCTTCAGTCTAGTTTTTATGTGAAGACATTTCTTCTTCACCATAGGGCTCAAACCACTCAGAAATATCCTTTTGCATATTGAACAAAAACACTATTTCCTATCTGCTCAATGAAAAGAAAGATTCAACTCTGTGAGTTGAATGCAAACATCACAAAAAAAGTTTCTCAGAAAGCATCTGTCTAGTTTTCATGTCAAGATATTTCCTTTTTTACCATCGGCCTCAAAGCCCAACAAATATCCATTTGCAGATTATACTAAAAGACTGTTTCCAAACTGCTCAATCCAAAGAATGGTTCAACTCTCTGAAATGAAATATCACACCACAAAGAAGTTTCTCAGAAAGCCTCTGTCTAGTTTTTATATGAAGATATTTCCTGTTTCACCATAGGACTCAAAGGGCTCTCTAATATCCCTTTGCAATTCTGTGAAGAAAGTCATTGGTAGCTTGATGGGGATGGCATTGAATCCATAAATTACCTTGGGCAGTATGGCCATTTTCACGATATTGATTCTTCCTACCCATGAGCATGGAATGTTCTTCCATTTGTTTGTATCCTCTTTTATTTCCTCGAGCAGTGGTTTGTAGTTCTCCTTGAAGAGGTCCTTCACATCCCTTGTAAGTTGGATTCCTAGGTATTTTATTCTCTTTGAAGCAATTGTGAATGGGAGTTCACTCATGATTTGGCTCTCTGTTTGTCTGTTGTTGGTGTATAGGAATGCTTGTGATTTTTGCACATGGATTTTGTATCCTGAGACTTTGCTGAAGTTGCTTATCAGCTTAAGGAGATTTTGGGCTGAGATGATGGGGTTTCCTAGATATAAAATCACATCATCTGCAAACAGGGACAATTTGACTTCCTCTTTTGCTAATTGAATGCCCTTTATTTTCTTCTCCTGCCTGATTGCCCTGGCCAGAACTTCCAACACTATGTTGAATAGGAGTGATGAGAGAGGGCATGACAGTCTTGTGCCAGTTTTCAAAGGGAATGCTTCCAGTTTTTGTCCACTCAGTATGATATTGGCTGTGGGTTTGTCATAGATAGCTCTTATTATTTTGAGATAGTCCCATCAATACCTAATTTATTGGGAGTTTTTGGCATGAAGATTTTTTGAATTTTGTCAAAGGCCTTTTCTGCATCTATTGAGATAATCATGTGGTTTTTGTCTTTGGCTCTGTTTATTTGCTGGATTACATTAATTGATTTTTGTATGTTGAACCAGGCTTGCATCTCAGGGATGAAGCCCACTTGATCATGGTGGATAAGCTTTTTGATGTGCTGCTGGATTCTGTTTGCCAGTATTTTATTGAGGATTTTTGTATCAATGTTCATCAAGGATATTGGTCTAAAATTCTCTTTTTTGGTTGTGTCTCTGCCTGGCTTTGGTATCAGAATGATGCTGGCCTCATAAAATGAGTTAGAGAGGATTCCCTCTTTTTCTATTGATTGGAATAGTTTCAGAAGGAATGGTACCAGTTCCTCCTTGTACATCTTGTAGAATTCGGCTGTGAATCCATCTGGTCCTGGACTCTTTTTGTTTGGTAAGCTATTGATTATTGCCACAATTTCAGATCCTGTTATTTGTCTATTCAGAGCTTGAGCAGTTTGAGGCATGTGGTGAAAAAAGAAATCTTCATATAAAAACTAGACAGAAGCATTCTGAGAAACCATTTTGTGATGTGTGCATTCATCTCACAGAGTTGAATTTTCTTCCGTTGAGTAGTTTGGAAACAGTCTTTTTGTAGAATATGCAAAGGGATATTTGTGAGATTTTTGAGGCCTCTTGTGAAAAAGGAAATATCCACAAATAATATCTAGAGAGAAGGCTTCTTATAAAGTTCTTTCTGATGTGTGCATTCATCACACAGGGTTGAACCTGTCTTTGGATTGAACAGTTTGGAAACAGTTTTTTCGTAGAATCTGCAAAGGAAAATTTGTGAATGCTTTGAGGCTTCTGGTGTAAAAGAAGTATCTTCACATTAAAACTAGACAGAAACGTTCTGAGAAACTTCTTTGTAATGTGTGCATTCATCACACACAGCTGAGCTTTCGTTTGATGTAGCAGTTTGGAAACAGTATTTTGTAGATTCTGCAAAGGGTTATTTATGAGTGGTTTCAGGCCTATGGTGAAAAAGGGAGTATCAACAAAAAAGAACTAGACAGAAACTTTCTGAGAAACTTCTCTGTGATGTGTGCATTCATCTCACAGAGTAGAAAGCTTTCTTTGATTGAGCAGTTTGGAAACAATCTTTTCGTAGAATCTGCAAAGGGATATATGTAGGCGGTTTCAGGTCTATGGTGAAAATGGAAATATCTTCACATAAAAACTAGAAAGAAGCTCTCTGAGAAAATTCTTTGTGATGTGCTCATTCATCTCACAGATTTGAAATGTTCTTTTCATTGACCAGTTTGGATAGAGTCCTTTTGTAGGATTTGTTTTGCGATATTTGTGAGCCCTTTGAAGCCTATGGTGAAAAAAGAAATATCTTCACATAAAAACTAGACAGAAGCTTTCTGAGAAACTTCGTTGTGATGTATGCATTCATCCCAAAGAGTTGAGCCTGTCTTTGGATTGAGCAATTTTGAAAGAGTTCTTTTGTAGAATGTTCAAAGGGATATTTGGGATCCTTTTTTGGCCTATGGTGAAAAAGGAAATGTCTTCATATAAAAACTAGACAGAAACATTCTGAGAAACTTCTTTGTGATTTGTGCATTCTTCTCACAACTTTGAACCTCTCTTTAGATAGAGCAGGTTGGAAAATGTCTTTTAGTAGACTCTGCAAAGTGATAATTTGAATGCTTTGAGACTTACGGTGAAAAAAGAAATATCTTCACTTAAAAACTGGACAGAAGCTTTCTGAGAAATTTCTTTGTGATGTGTGCATTCATCTCAAAAAGTTGAAGCTTTGTTTCCATTGAGCAGTTTGGGAACAGTCTTTTTGTAAAATCTGTAAAGGGACATTTATGAGCACTTTGAGGCCTATATGGAAAAAGGAAACATCTTTAAATAAAAACTAGACAGAAGCTTTCTGAGAAACTTCTTTGTGATGTGTGCATTCACCTCACAGAGTTAAACCTTTCTTTTGATTGAGTAGTTTGGAAACAGTCTCTTTGTAGAATATGCAAAGGGTTATTTATTAGCAGTTTGAGGCCTGTGGTGAAAAAGGGAGTATTAACAAATAAAAACTAGACAGAAATTTCTGAGAAACTTCTCTGTGATGTGTGCATCTCGCAGAGTGGAAGCTTTCTTTGAGCCATTTGGAAACAGTCTTTTTGTAGAATCTGCAAAGGGATATATGTAGGTGGTTTGAGGTCTATGGTGAAAACGGAAATATCTTCACATAAAAACTAACTGCTCAATGGGAAGAAACTTTTTCTTCTGTGTGATGAATGTGCACGTCACAAAGGAGTTACTCAGAAAATTTCTTTCTACTTTTTATGCGAAGATATTTCCTTTTTCAACATATGCCTCAATGCGCTCCCAGATATCCCTTTGCAGATTCTATGAAAAGACTGTTTCCAAACTGCTCAATAAACAGAATGGTTCCACCCTGTGAGACCAATGTGCACATTACAAAGAAGTTTCTCAGAAAACTTCCTTCTCGTTTTTATGTGAAGACAGTCCCTTTTTGAACATAGGCCTCAATGCACTCCAAAATACACTTTGCAGAATCTACAAAAAAAAAAAAAAACTGTTGCCAAATTGCTCAATCAAAAGAAAGTTTCAACTCTGTTAGGTGAATGCGCACATCAGAAAGTAGTTTCTCAGCAAACTTCTGTTTTTTATGTGAAGATAGTTCCTTTTTCCTTATGGGTCTCAAAGCACTCAAAAATATCCCTTTGTAGGTTCTAGAATAACAGAGTTTACAAACTGCTCAATGAAAAGAAACGTTTATCTCTGTGAGATGAATACACATAGCTTAAAGCAGCTTCTCAGAATGCTTCTTTCTAGTTTTTATGTGAAGATATTTCCTTTTTCACCATAAGCCTCAATGTGCTCCTAAATATCCCTTTGCAGACTGTACAAAAAGACTGTTTCCAAAGTGCTCAACCCAAAGAATGTTTCAACTCTGTGAGATGAATGCACACATCACAAAAAGTTTCTCAGAAACTTTCTTTATAGATTTTCTGTGAAGATATTTCCTTTTTCACCATAGGTCTCACCTCAAATCACTCACAAATATCCCTTTGCATATTCTACAAAAATACTGTTTCCAAACCACTTAATAAAAAGAATTATTGAACACTGTGAGATGAATGCACACATCTCAAAGGAGTTTCTCAGAATCCTTCAGTCTAGTTTTTATGTGAATATATTTCCTTTTTCACCATAGGCCTCAAAGTGCTCCAAATATCCATTTGCAGATTCGACAAAAAGACTATTTCCAAACTGCCCAATCAAAACAAAGTTCATCTCTGTGTGATGAATGCACACATCACAAAGAAGTTTCTCAGAATGCTTCTGTCTAGATTTTATGTGAAGTTACTTGCTTTTTCACCATAGGCCTCAAAATGCTCATAAATATCCCTTTGCAGATTCTATAAAAATACTTTTTCCAATTTGCTAAATCAGAAGAAATGTTCAACTCTGTGAGATGATTGCACACATCACAAAGAAGCCACTAAGAAAGCTTCTGTCTAGTTTTTATGTGAAGATATTTCCTTTTTCACCATAGGCCTCAAAGCACTCACAAATATCCCTTTGCAGATTCTATAAGAAGAGAGTTTCCAGACTGATCAGAGAAAATAAACGTTTACTTCTGTGAGATCAATGCACACATCACAAAGCTGTTTCTAAGAAACCTTCTTTATACCTTTTATATGAATACATTTCCTTTTTCACCATTGGCCTCAAAGCGCTCATAAATATCCCTTTGCAGTTTCCACAAACAGACCATTTCCATACTGCTCAATCAAAAGTAAGTTTCATCTTTGTGAGATGAATGCCCACATCACAAAGAGGTTTCTCAGAAAGCCTCTCACTAATTTTTATGTGAAGCTATTTCCTTTTTCACCATAGGCCTCAAAGCACTCACAAATATCCCTTTGCAGACTCTACAAGAACAGTTTCCAGACTGACCAGAGAAAAGAAACCTTTACCTCAGTGAGATGAGTACATACGTCACAAAGCTGTTTCTGAGAAAACTTTTTTATATTTTTTATGTGAATATATTTCCTTTTTCACCATTGGCCTCAAAGCACTCATAAATATCCCTTTGTAGATTCTAAAAAAGACCGTTTCCAAAGTGTTCAATCAAAAGAATGGTTGAACTCTATGAGATGAATGCACACATCACAAAGAAGTTTCTCGGAAAGCTTCTGTCTAGTTTTTATGTAAAGATATTTCCTATTTCATCATAGGCCTCATAGCTCTCAAAAATATGTCTTCACAGATTCTACAAAAATACTGTATCCAAATTTCTCAATCCATAGAAAGGTTCAAATCTGTGAGATGAATGCACACATCACAAGGAGGTTTCTCAGAAAGCTTCTTTCTAGTTTTCTTGTGAAAATATTGCCTTTTTTACCATAGGCTTCAAAGCATCACACGTATCCCTTTGCAGATTCTAAAAAAATACTGTTTACAAACTGCTCAATGAGAAGAATGTTTTATTGAATCTGTAAATTATCTTGGGCAGTATGGCCATTTTCACGATATTGATTCTTCCTACCCATGAGCATGGAATGTTCTTCCATTTGTTTGTGTCCTCTTTTATTTCCTTGAGCAGTGGTTTGTAATTCTCCTTGAAGAGGTCCTACTTTAAAGTTCATATGGAACCAAAAAAGAGCCCGCATCGCCAAGTCAATCCTAAGCCAAAAGAACAAAGCTGGAGGCATCACACTACCTGACTTCAAACTATACTACAAGGCTACAGTAACCAAAACAGCACGGTACTGGTACCAAAACAGAGATATAGATCAATGGAACAGAACAGAGCCCTCAGAAATAATGCCACATATCTACAACTATCTGATCTTTGACAAACCTGAAAAAAACAAGCAATGGGGAAAGGATTCCCTATTTAATAAATGGTGCTGGGAAAACCGGCTAGCCATATGTAGAAAGCTGAAACTGGATCCCTTCCTTACACCTTATACAAAAATCAATTCAAGATGGATTAAAGATTTAAACGTTAGACCTAAAACCATAAAAACCCTAGAAGAAAACCTAGGCATTACCATTCAGGACATAGGCGTGGGCAAGGACTTCATGTCTAAAACACCAAAAGCAATGGCAACAAAAGCCAAAATTGACAAATGGGATCTAATTAAACTAAAGAGCTTCTGCACAGCAAAAGAAACTACCATCAGAGTGAACAGGCAACCTACAACATGGGAGAAAATTTTCGCAACCTACTCATCTGACAAAGGGCTAATATCCAGAATCTACAATGAACTCAAAGAAATTTACAAGAAAAAAACAAACAACCCCATCCAAAAGTGGGCGAAGGACATGATCAGACACTTCTCAAAAGAAGACATTTATGCAGCCAAAAAACACATGAAAAAATGCTCATCATCACTGGCCATCAGAGAAATGCAAATCAAAACCACTATGAGATACCATCTCACACCAGTTAGAATGGCAATCATTAAAAAGTCAGGAAACAACAGGTGCTGGAGAGGATGTGGAGAAATAGGAACACTTTTACACTGTTGGTGGGACTGTAAACTAGTTCAACCATTGTGGAAGTTGGTGTGGCAATTCCTCAGGGATCCAGAACTAGAAATACCATTTGACCCAGCCATCCCATTACTGGGTATATACCCAAATGACTATAAATCATGCTGCTATAAAGACACATGCACACGTACGTTTATTGCGGCATTATTCACAATAGCAAAGACTTGGAACCAACCCAAATGTCCAACAATGATAGACTGGATTAAGAAAATGTAGCACATATACACCATGGAATACTATGCAGCCATAAAAAATAATGAGTTCATGTCTTTTGTAGGGACATGGATGAAATTGGAAACCATCATTCTCAGTAAACTATCGCAAGAACAAAAAACCAAACACCGCATATTCTCACTCATAGGTGGGAATTGAACAATGAGATCACATGGACACAGGAAGGGGAATATCACACTCTGGGGACTGTGGTGGGGTCGGGAGAGGGGGGAGGGATAGCATTCGGAGATATTACCTAATGCTAGATGACACGTTAGTGGGTGCAGCGCACCAGCATGGCACATGTATACATATGTAACTAACCTGCACAATGTGCACATGTACCCTAAAACTTAAAGTATAATTTAAAAAAATAATAAATCTAAAAAAAAAAAGAAGAGAAGAATGTTTTAACTCTGTGAGAGGAATTCTCACATCTCCAAGATGTTTCACAGAAAACTTCTGTCTAGTTTTTATGTGAAGATAATTCCTTTTTCACCATATGCCTCAAAGCACTGACAAATATCCCTTTGCAGATTTTCAAGAACAGAATTTCCAATCTGCTAAATGAGGAGAAACGGTTACTTCTGTGAGATGAAGGCACACATCACAAAACAGTTTATCAGAAATATTCTGTCTAGTATTTATGTAAAGATAATTCCTTTTTCAACATAGGACACAAAGCGCTAATAACCAGTTGGACATTCTACAAAATACTGTTCACAAACTGCTCATCAAAAGAAAGTTTCACCTCTGTGGGATGAATGCATATATAAAAAGATGTTTCTCAGAAAGCTTCTATATTGTTTTTATGTGAATGAGTTTCCCTTTTCACCATGGGCCTCAAAGTGCTCAAAAATATCCCTTTGCAGATCCTAAAAAAAAAACTGTTTCCAAACTGTTGAGTCAAAGAATGGTTCAACTCTGTGACACGAATGCACACATCAAAAAGAAGTTTCTCGCAAACCTTTATACTTTTTATGTGAAGATGTTTCCTTTAACCATAGACCTCAAAATGCTCGCAAATATACCTTTGCAGAATCCACAAAAAGACGGTTTCCCAACTGCTGAATCAAAAGAATTGTTGAACTCTGTGGGATGAATGCATACCTCACAAAGCAGTTGCTCAGAATTCTTTAGTCTAGTTTTTATGTGAAGATATTTTCTCTTTCACCATAGGCCTCAAAGTGCTCAGAAATATCCCTTTACAGATTCCACAAAAAGATGTTTCTAAACTGCTCAATCAAAATAAAGTTTCAGTTCTGTGAGATGAATGCACACATCACCAAGAAGTTTCTCAGTAGGGTTCTATCTAGTTTTTATGCGAAGACAATTCCTTTTTCACCACAGGGCTCTATACACTCATAAATGTCCCTTAGCAGAATCTAATACAACAGAGTTTCCCAACTGATCAAAGAAAATCATTGATTACCTCTGTAAGATGAGAGCAGACATCACAAAACAGTTTCTGAGAAACCTTCTTTATAGTTTTCTGTAAAGATACTTCTTTTTCTACATAGGCCTCAAAGTGCTCACAAATATCCATTTGCAGATTCTGCAAATATACTGTTTCCAAAACTGCTGAATCAAAGGAGGTTCAACTATGTCAGATGAATGCACATATCACAAAGAAGTATCTCAGAAAATTTATTTACACTTTGTATGTGAAGATATTTCCTTTGTCAACATAAGCCTCAAAGTGCTGAAAAATAACCCTTTTCAGATTGTACAAGAACAGAGTTTCCAGACTGAACAGAGAAAATAAATGCTTACCTCTGTGAGATGAATACACACACCACAAGGCTGTTTTTAGGGAAAATGCTTTACAGTTCTTATGTGAAGATATGTCCTTTTCCACCATAGGCCTCACAGCGTTCCAAACATCCACTTGTAGATTCTACAAAAAGAGTGTTTCAAAACTGCTCAATCAAAGAAAAGGTTCAAATCTGTGAGATGAATTCAAACAACACAAAGAAGTTTCTCAGAATGCTCCTAATTTTTATGTTATTTCCTTTTCCACCATAGGCATCAAAGGACTCCAAATATCCACATACAGATACTATAAAAAGACAGTTTCCAAACTGCTCAATCAAAAGTGTGGTTCAACTCTCTGAGATGAATACACACATCACTAAGAGGTTTCTCAAAATGCTTCTGTCTAGTTTTTACATGAAGATAATTCCTTTTCCAACAAAGGCTTCGAATCACAACAAATATCCACTTACAGATTCTACAAAAAGAGTATTTCAAAACTGGTCAATCAAAAGAAAGTTTGAACTCGGTGAGATGAATGCACACATCACAAAGCAGTTTCTCAGAATGCTTCTGTCGAGATTTTATGTGAAGATATTTACTTTTCCACTAGAGTCCACAAAGCTCTCCAAATATCCAATTTCAGATTCTATAAAAAGAGTGTTTCAACACTGCTCAAAGAAAAGAAAGGTTCAACTTTGTGAGTTGAATGCACACAGCACAAAGACGTTTCTCAGATTGCTTCTGTCTAGTTTTTATGTGAAGATATTCCCTTTTCCACCATAGGCCCCAAAGCACACCAAATATCCACTTGCAGATTCTACAAAAAGTGTGTTTCCAAACTGCTCAATCAAAAGAAAGGTTCAACTCGGTGAGGTGAATGCCCACATCACAAAGAAGTTCCTGAGAATGCTTCTGTCTACTTTCTATGTGAAGATATTTTCTTTTCCACTAGAGGCTGCCAAGCACTCCAAATATCCACTTGCAGATACTACAAAAAGAGTGTTTCAAAACTGCTCAATCAAAAGAAATGTTCAAATCTGTGAGGTAAATGCACACATCCCAAAGAAGTTTCTCAGAATGCTTCTAATTTTTATGTAAAGATACTTCCTTTTCCACCATAGGCCTTAAAGCGCTCCAAATATCGATTTACAGATACTACAAAAAGACTATTTCCAAACTGCTCAGACAAAGCAATTGTTCAACTCTGTGAGTTGAATGCACACATCACAAAGAAGTTTCTCAGAATGCTTCTGTCTAGTTTTTATGTGAAGATATTTCCTTTTCCATTGTAGGCTGCTAATCGCTCCAAATATCCACTTGCAGAGTCTACAAAAAGAGTGTTTCAAAACTGCTGAATCAAAAGAAAGGTTCAACTCTGACAGTTCAATGCACACATCACAAAGAAGTTTCTCAGAATGCTTCTCTGTAGTTTTTAGGTGAAGATATTTCCTTTTCCACCATAGGCCTCAAAGTGCTCCAAGTATCCAGTTGCAGATGCTACAAAAAGTCTGTTTTCAAACTGCCCAATTAATAGAAATGTTCAACTCTGTGAGTTGAATGCACACATCACAAATAATTTTCTCAGAATGGTTCCGTATAGTTTCTAAGTGAAGATATTTCCTTTTCCACCTGAAGCCACAAAGCACTCCAAATATCCATTGAAGATTCTACAAAAAGTGTGTTTCAAAACTGCTCAATCCAAAGAAAGGTTTAACTCTGTGAGTTGAATGCCTGCATCACAAAGAAGTTTCTCAGAATGCTTCTGTCTAGGTTTTATGTGAAGATATTACCTTTTCCACTTTAGGCAGCAAAGCTCTCCAAATATACACTTGAAGGTTCTACGAAGAGTGTTTCAAAACTGTTCAATGAAAAGAAAATGTTCAACTCAGTGACATGAATGCACACATCACAAAGAAGTTTCTTGGAATGCTTCTGTCTGGTTTTTGTGTGAGGATATTTTCTTTTCCAGCATTGGCCACAAAGCGCTCCAAATATCCACATGCAGATACTACAGAAAGACTGTTTCCAAACTGCTCAATCAAAAGAGTGGTTCAACTCTCCCAGATGAATGCACACATCACAAAGAAGCTACTCAGAATGCTTCTGTCTAGTTTTTATGTGAAGATATTTCCTTTTCCAATATTGGCCTCTAAGCACTCCAAATATACATTTGTAGATGCTACAAAAAGAAAGTTTCAAAACTGCTTAATCAGAAGATTGCTTCAAATCTGTGAGTTGAATGCACACATCTCGAAGAAGTTTCTCAGAATGTTTCTCTCTAGTTTTTTTGTGAAGATATTTCCTCTTCCACCAGAGGCCGCAAAGCACTCCAAATATCCATTTGTGGATTCTACAAAAAGACTGTTTCCAAACTGCTCAGTGAAAAGTAAGTTTCAGCTCTGTAAGAAGAAGGCACACATCACAAAGAAATTTCTCTAAAAGTTTCTGTCTAGTTTTTATGTGAAATTATTTTCAGTTGCCCTAGAGGGCACAAAGGGCTCTAAAATATCCCTTTGCAGATTCTAGAAAACGACTGATTCAAAACTGTTCAATCTAAAGAAAGGTTCAACTCTGTAAGATGAATGCACACATCACAAAGAAGTTTCTCAGAAAGTTTCTGTCTAGTTTTTATGTGAAGATATTTCCTATTGCCCCAGAGGCCTCAATGGGTTCACAAATATCCCTTTGCAGATTGTACAAAACGACAGGTTTCCAAACTGCTTAATCGAAAGAAAGGTTTACCTCTGTGATATGAATGCACACATCATAAACAAGTTTCTCAGAATGCTTCTGTCTAGTTTTAATGTGAGGATGTTTCCCTTTCCACTGTAGTCTGCAAAGCACTCGAAATATACACTTGTGGATTCTACAGAAGGACTGTTTCCAAACTTCTCAATCAAAAGAAAGATTCAACTCTGTGAGATGAATGCGCAAATCACAAGAAGTTACTAAGAATGCTTCTGTCTAGTTTTAATGTGAAGTTATTTCCTTTTCCACTATAGGCCACAAATGGCTCCAAATATACACGTGCAGATTCCATAAAAAGAGGGTTTCCAAACTGCTCAATCAAAAGAAATGTTCAACTCTGTGAGATGAATGCAAAAATCACAGAGAAGTTTCTCAGAATGCTTCTTTCTAGGTTTTATGTGAAGATATATCCTTTTCCTCTACAGGTCCCAAAACAGTACAAATATCCACTTGCAGATACTACAAGAAGAGTGTTTCAAAACTGCTCAATCAAAAGGAAGGTTCAACTCTGTGAAATGAATGCACACATAAAAAAGAAGTTCCTCAGAATACTTCTGTCAAGTTTTTATGTGAATATATTTCCTTTTTCAACATATGCCTCAAAGCACTCCAAATATCCATTTGCAGATATTACAGAAAGACTCTTTCCAAACTGCTCAATCAAAAGAAATGTTCAACTCTGTGAGATGAATGCACACATCAGAAGGAAGTTTCTCAGAATGTTTCTGTCTAGTTCTTATCTGAAGATATTTCCTATTTCTCCAGAGGCCTCAATGGTGTGACAAATATCCCTCTACAGAGTCTACAAAACGACTGTTTCCAAACTGCCCAATCAATACAAAGGTTCAAGTCTGTGAAATGAAGGCACACATAACAAGGAAGTTTCTCAGATTGCTTCTGTCTATTTTTTATGTGAAGATATTTCCTTTTCACTGTAGGTCTCAAAGCACTCCAAATATCCACTTGCAGATTCTACAAAAAGACTGATTCCAAACTGCCCAATCAAAAGAAAGTTTCAACTCTGTGAGATAAATGCACAGATCAAAAAGAAGTTTCTCAGAATACTTCTGTCTAATTTTTATGTGAAGATATTTCCTTTTCTGCCACAGGCCTCAAAGCTCTCAAAAATATCCACCTGCAGATATGACAAAAAGAGTGTTTCAAAACTGCTCAATCAAAAGAAAGTTTCAACTCTGTGAGTTGAATACACTCATCACAAATAAGTTTCTCAATGCTTCGGGCTAGTATGTATGTGAAGATATGTCCTTTTCCACCGTAAGCCTCAATCCGCTCCAAATATCCAATTGAAGGTACTACAAAAAGAGTGTTTCAAAACTGATAAATCAAAGGAAAGGTTCAACTCTGTGAGTTGAATGCAGACATCACAAAGACGTATCTCAGATTGCTTCTGTATAGTTTTTATGTGAAGATATTTCCTTTTCCACCATGGGCCCCAAAGTGTTCCAAACATCCACATGCAGATTCTACAAAAAGAGTGTTTCAAAACTTCTCAATCAAAAGAAACGTTCAACTCTGTGAGATGAGTGCACACATCACAAAGAAGTTTCTCAGAATCCTTCAGTCTAATTTTTATGAGAAGATATTTCCTTTTCCAACATAGGCCTCAAAGTGCTCCAAATATCCACTTACAGATTCTACAAAAAGAGTGCTTCAAAACTGCTCAATCAATAGAAAGGTTCAACTCCGTGGAAAGAACGCACACTTCAAAAAGAAATTTCTCAGGATGCTTCTGTCTAATTTTTATTTGAAGATATTTCCTTTTCCACCATAGGCCTCAAAGCAGTCCAAATATCCACCTGCAGATTCTACAAAAAGAGTGTTTCAAAACTGCTTAATTAAAAGAAAGGTTCAACTCTGTGAGATGAAGGAACACATCCCAAAGAAGTTTCTCAGAATGCTTCTATCTAGTTTTTATGTGAAGATATTTCCTTTTCCAGTAAAGGCCACAAATCACACAAAATATCCACTTGCAGACTGTACAAAAAGAGTGTTTCAACACTACTCAATTAAAAAAAAAGGTTCAAGTCTATGAGATGAATGCAGACATCACAAAGAAGATTCTCAGAATGCTGCTGTTTAGTTTTTATGTGAAGATATTTCCTTTTCCACCATAGGCAACAAGGTGCTCCAAAAATACACTTGCAGATTCTACAAAAGGACGGTTTCAAAACTGCTCAATCAAAAGAAGAGTTCAACTCGGTGAGATGAAGGCCCACATCAAAAAGAAGTTTCTCAGAATGCTTCTGTCAAGTTTTTATGTGAAGATGCTTCCTTTTCCACCATAGGCCTCAATGCGCTCAATCAAAAGAAACGTTCAACTCTATGAGACGAATGCACACATGAGAAAGAAGTTTCTCAGAATGCATCTGTCTAGTTTCTGTGTGAAGATATTTCCGTTTCCACCATTGATGCCAAAGTGCTCCAAACATCCACTTGCAGATTCTACAAAAAGAGTGTTTCAAAAATGGTGAATCAAAAGAAATGTTCAACTCAGTGAGATTAACGCACACGTCAAAAAGAAGTTTCTCAGAATGCTTCTGTCAAGTTTTTATGTGAAGATATTTCCTTTTTCACCTAGGCCACATAGCACTCCAAATATCCACTTGTAGATTCTACAAAAAAAAAAAGTGTTTCAAAACAGCTCAATCAAAAGAAAGTTTCATCTCTGTGAGTTGAATGCAGACATAACAAACAAGATCCTCAGAATGCTTCTGTCTTGTTTTTATTTGAAAATATTTCCTTTTCCACAATAGTCTGCAAAGTGCTCCAAATATCCACTTGCACATTCGACAAAAGGAGTATTTCAAAACTGCTCAATCAAAAGAAAGATTCAACACTTTGAGATGAATGCACACATAACAAAGTAGTTTCTCAGAATGCTTCTGTCTAGCTTTCATGTTAAGATATTTCCTTTTCGACCATAGGCCTCAATGTGCTCAATCAAAAGAAAGATTCAACTCTGTGAGATGAATGCACACATGAGAAACAAGTTTCTCAGAATGCTTCTGTCTAGTTTCTATGTGAAGATATTTCCGTTTCCACAATAGATGGCAAAGTGCTCCAAACATCCACTTGCAAACTACATAAAGACTGTTTCAAAAATGCTGAATCAAAGAAATTTTCAACTCGGTGAGATGAATGCACACATAAAAAAGAAGTTTCTCAGAATGCTTCTGTCTAGTTTTTATGTGAAGATATTTCCTTTTCCACCTTAGGCCACAAAGTGCTCCAAATATCCACTTGCAGATTCCACAAAAAGTGTGTTTCAAAACTGCTCAATAAAAAGAAATGTTCAACTCTGTGAGATGAATGCACACATCACAGAGAAGTTTCTCAGAATTCTTCTGTGAATTTTTTATGTGTAGATAATTCTTTTCCACCATAAGCCTCAAAGCGCTCCATATATCCACTTGTAGATTCCACAAAAAGAATGTTTCAAAACTGTCCAACTGAAAGAAAGGTTCAACTCTGTGAGATGAATGCACACATCACAAAGATGTATCTCAGAATGCTTCTAATTTTTATGTGAAGATATTTCCTTTTCCACCACAGGACTCAAAGAACTCTAAATCTCCACTTCCAGATTCTACAAATACAGTGTTTCAGAACTGCTCAATGAAAAGAAAGGTTCAACTCTGCGAGATGAATGCACACATCACAGAGAAGTTTCTCAGAAATCTTCTGTGAAGTTTTTATGTGAAGATAATTCTTTTCCACGTGAAGATAATTCTTTTCCACATTAAGCCTCAAAGCACTCCATATATCCACTTGTAGATTCCACAATAAGAGTGTCTCAAAACTGTTCAATTAAAAGAAAGGTTCAACTCTGTGAGATGAATGCACACATCACAAAGAGGTTTCTCAGAATGCTTCTGCCTAGTTTTTAAGTGAAGATAGTTCCTTTTCCACCATAGACCACAAAGTACTCCAAATACACACTTGCAGATTTCACAAAAGAGTTTTTCAAAAGTGCTCAATCAAAAGAAAGGTAGAACTCTGTGAGGTGAATGCACGCATCAGAAAGAGGTTTCTCAGAATGCATTTGTCAAGTTTTTATGTGAAGATATTTCCTTTTCCACCATAAGCCACAGAGCGCTCCAAATACCCATTTACATATTCCACTAAAAGAGTGTTTCCAAACTAATTAATCAAAAGAAAGGTTCAACTCTGTGACTTTAATGCACACATCATAAAGAAGTTTCTCAGAATGCTTCTGTGTAGTTTTTATATGAAGATATTTCTTTGTCCAACATAGGACCCAAAGTTCTCCAAATATCCACAGGAAGATTCTATACAAAGAGTGTTTCAAAACTCCTTAATCAAAAGAAAGTTCAACTCATGTATGAGAAGAATGCATACATCATGAATTTTCTCAAAATGTTTCTGTCTAGTTTTTATGTGAAGATATTACCTTTTCCTCCATGGGACTCAAAATGCTCCAAATATCTACTTGCAAATTCTACCAAAAGAGTGTTACAAAACTGCTCAATCAAAAGAAAAGTTTAACTCTGTGAGATGAATGTATACATCACAAAGAAGTTTCTCAGAATGCTTCTGTTGTTGTGTGAAGATATTTCCTTTTTTACCATAGGCCGCAAGGCATCCCAAATGTCTACTGGCAGATTCTACAAAGAGAGTGTTTCAAAACTGCTCAATCAAAAGAAAGATTCAACTCTGTGAGATGAATGCACACATCACAAAGAAGTTTCTGATAATGCTTCTGTCTAGTTTTTATGTGAAGATATTTTCTTTTCCACCATAGGCCTCAAAGTGCTCCAAATATCCACTTACAGATTCTACAAAAAGAGTGTTTCCAAACTGCTCAATAAAAAGAAAGGTTCAACTCTGTGTGATGAATGCACACATGACAAAGAAGTTTCCCGGAACGTTTCTGTCTAGTTTTTATAGGAAGGTATTGCCCTTTACACTATCGGCTGCAAATTGTGCCAAATATCCAATTGCAGACTATACAAAAACAGTGTTTCAAAACAGCTCAATCAAAAGAAATGTTCAACTCTTTGAGATGAATGCACACATCACAAAGAATTGTCTCTGCATGCTTTCGTTTGGTTTTTATGTGAAGATATTTCCTTTTCCACCATAGGCCTCAAACCCCTCCAAATATCCACTTACAGATTCTCCAAAAGAGGGTTTCCAAACTGCTCAATCAAAAGAAAGTTTCAACACTGTGAGATGAATGCACACATCACAAAGAAGTTTCTCAGAATGCTTCTGTCTACTTTTTATGTGAAGATATTTTCTTTTACACCATAGGCTGCAAATCGCTCCAAATATCCACTAGCAGACTCCAGACAAGTAGTGTTTGTAAACTGCTCAATTAAAGGAAAGTTTCACCTTTGTGTGATGAATGCACACATCACAAAGAAGTTTCTCAGAATCCTTCTGTCTAGTTTTTATTTGAAGACATTTCATTTTCCGCCACAGGCCACAAAGCTCGCCAAGTATACACTTGCAGATTCTACAAAAAGAGTGTTTCAAAACTGCTCAATCAAAAGAAACGTTCAACTCTGTGAGATGAATGCACACATCACAAAGAAGTTTTTGAGAGTGCCTCTGTGTAGTTTTAATGTGAAGATATTTCCTTGTCCATGATAGGCCTCAAAGGGCTCCAAATGTCCACTTGCAGATTCTACAAAAAGAGTGTTTCCAAACTGCTCAATCAAAAGAAAGATTCAATTCTGTGTGATGAATTTATTCATCACCAAGTAGTTTCTGAGAATGCTTCTGTGTAGTTTTTATGTGAAGATATTTCCTTTTCCACAATAGGCCTCAAAGGGCTCCAAATATCCACTTGCAGATTCTACAAAAAGAGTGTTTCCAAACTGCTCAATGAAAGAAAAGTTTCAATTCTGTAAGATGAATGCACACATCACAGAGAAGTTTCCCAGAATGCTTCTGTGTAGTTTTTATGGAAAGATATATCCTTTTCCACAATTGGCCACAAACAGTTCAAAATATCCACATGCAGATTCTACAAAAAAAAAAAGATTCAAAACTGCTCTATCAAAAGAGAGGTTCAATCGTTCGAGTTGCATACACACATCACAAAGAAGTTTCTCAGAATGCTTCTGTTTAGTTTTTATGTAAAGACATTCCCTTTTCCACCAAAGACCTCAAAGCTCTCCAAATATCCACTTGCAGATTCTCCAAAAAGAGTGTTTCAAAATTGCTCAATCAAAAGAAGGTTCAACTCTGTGAGATGAATGCACACATCACAAAGACGTTTCTCAGAATGCTTCTGTGTAGTTATTATGTGAAGATATTTCCTTTTCCACCATTGGCTGCAAATGGCTCCAAATATCCACTTGCAGATTCTAAAAACAGAGTTTCAAAACTGCTCTAACGGAAGATAAGCTCAACTCTGTGGGTGGAATGCACACATCACAAAGAAGTTCCTGAGAAGGCTTCTGTGTAGTTTTTATGTGAAGATATTTCCTTCTCCACCATAGCCCTCAAAGTGCTCCAAATATCCACTTAGAGATTCTACAAAAAGTGTTTCAAAACTGCTAAATCAAAAGACAGGTTCAATTCTATGAGATGAATGCACACATCACAAAGAAGATTCTCAGAATGTTTCTGTGTAGATTTAGTGTGAAGATATTTCCTTTTCAACATTAGGCCTTGAAGCCCTCCAAATATCCACTTGAAGATTCTACAAAAAGAGTGTTTCAAAACTGCTCATTCAAATGAAAGTTCCAAATCTGTGAGATGAATGCACACATCACAAAGAAGTTTCTTAGAATACTTCTGTGAAGTGTTTAGGTGAAGATATTTTCTTTTCCACCATAGGCCACACAGGGCTCCAAATATTCACCTGCCAAATCTACAAAAAGAGAGTTTCAAAAGTGCTGTGTCAAAAGATAGGTTCAACTCTGCCAGTTGAATGCACACATCACAAAGAAGTTTCTCAAAATGCTTCTTTGTAGTTTTTATTTTTATTTTTTGCAGATAGTTCCTTTTCCACCATAGACCACTAATGGCTCCAAATATCCACTTGCAGATTCTACAAAAGAGAGTTTCAAAACAGCTCTACCAAAGATATGTTCAACCCTGTGAGTTAAATGGATACATCACCAAGAAGTTTCTCTGATTGCTTCTTTGTGGTTTTTATGTGAAGATATTTCCTTTTCCACCATAGTTCTCAAAGCGCTCCAAATATCCACTTGCAGATCTTACAAAAAGAGTGTCTCAAAACTCCTCAATCAAAAGAAAGGTTCAACTCTGTGAGATGAATGCACACATCACAAAGAAGTTTCTCAGAATGCTCTTTGTAGTTTTCATGTGAAGATATTTCCTTTTCCACCGTAGGCCACAAAGGACTCCAAATATCCACTTGCAGATTCCACAGGAAGAGAGTTTCAAAGCTGCTCTATCAAAAGATAGGTAAAACTCTGTGAGTTGAATGCACACATCACCAAGAAGGTTCTGAGAAAGTTTTGTGTAGTTTTTAGTGAAGATATTTCCTTTTCCACCATAGGCCTCAAGGCACTCCAAATATCCACTTGAAGATTCTACAAAAAGAGAGTTTCAAACCTGCTCAATCAAAAGAATGGTTCAACTCTGTGAGATGAATGAAGACATCATGAAGAAATTTCTCAGAGTGCTTCTGTGTAGTTTTTATGTGAAGATATTTCCTTTTCCACCATAGGCCACAAAGGGCTCTAAATATCCACTTGCAGATTTTAAAAAAAGAGAGTTTCAAAACTGCTCTGTCAAAAGAAAGGTTAAACTCTGTGATATGAATGCACACATCAAAAAGTAGTTTCTCAGTATGCTTCTGTGTAGTTTTTATGTGAAGATACTTTCTTTTCCACCGTAGTTCTCTAAGCATTCCAAATATCCACTTGCAGATTCTGTAAAAAGAGTGTTTCAAAACTGCTCAATCAAAACAAAGGTTCACCTCTGTGAGATGAAGGCACACATCACAAAGAAGTTTCTCAAAATGCTTCTGTGTAGTTTTTATGTGAAGATATTTCTTTTTCCACAATAGGCCTCGAAGTGTTACAAATATTCACTTGGAGATTCTACAAAAGCAGTGTTTCCAACTGTTAAATCAAAAGAAAATTTCAACTCTGTGAGATGAATGCACACATCACAAAGTAGTTTCTGAGACTGCTTCTGTGTAGTTTTTCTGTGAAGGCATTTCCTTTTCCATGATAGGCCTCAAGGCACATGTAGATTCTACAAAAAGAGTGTTTCAAAACTGCTCAATCTAATGAAAGTTTCAACTCTGTGAGATGAATGTCAACAACACAAAGACATTTCTCAGTATGCTTCTGTGTAGTTTTCATAGTAAGATGTTTCCTTTCCCACCATCAGCCACAAAGGTCTCCTAATATCCACTTGCAGATTCTACCAAAAGGGAGATTCAAAACTGCTCAATCAAAAAAATCTCAACGCTGTGAGATGAATGCATACATCACAAAGAAGTTTCTCAGAATGCTTCTGTTAATTTTTATGTGAAGGTATTTGTTTTTCCACCATAGGACTCAAAATGCTCCAAATACCCACTTGCATATTCTACAAAAAGAGTGTCTCGAAACTGCTCAAACAAAAGAAAGGTTCATCTCTGTGAGATGAATACGCACATCAGAAGAAGATTCTCAGAATGCTTCTGTGTGGCTTTTATGTGGAGATACCTCCTTTCCCACACTAGTCCTCAAAGCACTCCAAATATCCAACTGGAGATTCTACAAAAAGAGTGTTTCAAAACTGCTCGATAGAGAGAGAAGTTCAACTCTGTGAGATGAATGCACACAGTGCAATGTAGTTTCTCAGAATGTTTCTGTGTAGTTTTTATGTGAAGATATTTGTTTTCCACAATAGGCTTCAAAGCACTTCAAATATCCACTTGCAGATTCCATAAAAAGCGTGTTTCAAGTCTTCTCTCAATCAGAAGAAATATTCAAGTCTGTGAGATGAATGCACACATCCAAAGAAGTTTCTCAGAACGCTTCTGTGTAGTTTTTATGTGAAGATATTTTCTTTTCTACAATAGGCTTCAAAGTGCTCCAAATATCCACTGGCATAGTACACAAAAAGAGTGTTTCAAAATTGTTCAATCAAAAGAAAGTTTCAACTATGTGAGATGAACACACAAATCACAAAGAAGTTTCTCAGAATGCTTCTGTGTAGTTACTATGTGAAGATATTTTCTTTTTCACCACAGGCCTCAAAGTGTTTCAAATATCCACTTGGAGATTCCACAAAAAGCGTTTTTCAAGTCTGCTCAATCAGAAGAAATATTCAAGTCTGTGACATTAATTCACACTCACAAAGAAGTTTCTCAGACTGCTTCTGTGTAGTTTTTATGTGAAGATATTTTCTTTTCCACCATAGGCCTCAAAGAGTTCCAAATACCCACTTGCATATTTTACAAAAAGAGTGTTTCAAAACTGCTCAAATGAAAGTCTCAACGCTGTCAGATGAATGTACACATCAGAAAGAAATTTATCAGAATGATTCTGTGTTGTTTTTATGTGACAATATTTCCTTTTCCACCTTAAGCTGCAAAGGGCTCTAAATACACACTTCCAGATTCTACAAAAAGAGAGTTTCAAAACTATCAAAAGTTAGTTTCAACTATGTGAATTGAATGCACACATCACAAAGTTGTTTCTCAGAATGCTTCTCTGTAGTTTTTATGTGAAGATATTTCCTTTTCCAAAATAGGCTGCAAAGGGCTCCAATTATCCACTTGCAGATTCTACAAAAAGAGAGTTCAACTCTGCTATATCAAAGTTATGTTCAACTCTGTGAGATGAACGCACACATCACAAAGGAGATTCTCAGAATGCTTCTGTGTAGTTCTTAGGTGAAGATATTTCCTTTTCCACCATAGGCCTCACAGCGCTCCAAATATCCACTTGCAGATTCTACAAAAAGGGATTTTCAAAACTATTCAATCAAAAGAAAGGTTCAACTCTGTCAGTTGAATGCACATATCACAAACAAGTTTCTTGGAATGCTTCTGTGTAGTTTTTATATGAAGATACTTCCTTTTCCACCATAGGCCTCAAAGTCTTCCTAATATCCACTTGCAGATTCTACAAAAAGATTGTTTCAAAACTGCTCAATCAAACGTAAGTTTCAACTCTGTGAGATGAAAGCCCACATCACAAAGAAATTTCGCAGAATGCAACTGTGTAGTTTTTTAATTTTATTTTATTATTATTATTCTTTAAGTTTTAGGGTACACGTGCACAATGTGGTTTGGTTACATATGTATACATGTGCCATGCATGTGTGCTGCATCCATTAACTCGTCATTTAGCATTAGGTATATCTCCTAAAGCTTATCCCTCCCCTCTCCAACCACCCCACAACAGTCCCCAGAGTGTGATGTTCCCCTTCCTGTGTCCATGTGTTCTTATTGTTCAATACCCACCAATGAGTGAGAATATGTGGTGTTTGGTTTATTGTTCTTGTGATTGTTTACTGAGAATGGTGATTTCCAATTTCATCCATGTCCCTACAAAGTACATGAACTCATCCTTTTTGATGGCTGCATAGTATTCCATCGTGTATATGTGTCACATTTTCTTACTCCAGTCTATCATTGTTGGACATTTGGGTTGGTTCCAGGTCTTTGCTATTGTGAATAATGCCACAAAAAACATATGTGTGCATGTTTCTTTATAGCAGCATGATTTATAGTCCTTTGGGTATATACCCAGTAATGGGATGGCTGGGTCAAATGGTATTTCTAGTTCTAGATCCCAGAGGAATCACCACACTGACTTCCACAATGGTTGAACAAGTTTACAGTCCCACCAACAGTGTAAAAGTGCTCCTATTTCTCCACCTCCTCTCCAGCACCTGTTGCTTCCTGACATTTTAATGATTGTCATACTAACTGGTGTGAGATAGTATCTCCTTGTGGTTTTGATTTGCATTTCTCTGATGGCCAGAGATGGTGAGCATTTTTTCATGTGTTTTTTGGCTGCATAAATGTCTTCTTTTGAGAAGTGTCTGTTCATGCCCTTTGCGGTCTTTTTCATGGGGTTGTTTTATTTTTCTTGTAAATTTGTTTGAGTTCATTGTAGATTCTGGATATTAGCCCTTTGTCAGATGAGTAGGTTGTGAAAATTTTCTCCCATTCTGTAGGTTGCCTCTTCATTCTGATGGTAGTTTCTTTTGCTGTGCAGAAGCTCTTTAGCTTAAAGAGATCCCACTTGTCAGTTTTGGCGTTTGTTGCCATTGCTTTTGGTGTTTTAGACATGAAGTCCTTGCCCATACCCATGTCCTGAATGGTAAGGCCTAGGTTTTCTTCTAGGCTTTTTATGGTTTTATGTCTGACGTTTAAGTCTTTAATCCTCTTGAATTAATTTTTGTATAAGGTGTAAGGAAGGGATCCAGTTTCAGCTTTCTACATATGGCTAGCCAGTTTTCCCAGCAACATTTCTTAAATAGGGAATCCTTCCCCGTTGCTTGTTTTTCTCAGGTTTGTCAAAGATCAGATAGCTGTAGATATGCGGCATTATTTCTGAGGGCCCTGTTCTGTTCCATTCATCAATACCTCTGTTTTGGTACTAGTGCCATGCTTCTGTGTAGTTTTTCTGTGAGGATATTACCTTTTCCACCTTAGGCCACAAACGGCTCTAAATATCAACTTGGAAGATGCTACAAAGAGAGAGTTTCAAAACTGCTCTATCAAAAGATAGGTTCAACTCTGAGAGTTTAATGCAAACATCACAAAGAAGTTCCTCAGAATGCTTCTGTGAAGTTTTTATGTGAAGATATTTCCTTTCCCAACATAGGCTTCAATGTGCTCCAAATATCCACTCGCAGATTCTACAAAAAGAGTGTTTCCAAACTGCTCAATCAAAAGAAAGGTTCAACTCTGTGACATCAATGCACAAATCACAATGAAGTTTCTCACAATGCTTCTGTGTAGTTTTTATCTAAAGATATTTCCTTTTCCACGATAGGCCGCAAAGTACTCCAAATATCCACTTGCAAATTCTACAAAAAGAGTGTTTCATAATTGCTCAATCAAATGAAAGGTTAAATTCTGTGAGATGAATGCACACATCATAAAGAGGTTTCTCAGAATGCTTTTGTATTGTTTTCATGTGAAGATGTTTCCTTTTCTACCATAGGCCGCAAAGGGCTCCAAATATCCACTTACAGATTCTACAAAAAGAGAGTTTCAAAACTGCTCTATCAAAAGGTAGGTTCAACACTGTGAGTTGAATACACACATCACAAAGTACTTTCTCAGAATGCTTCTGTGTAGTTTCTTCTTTTATTTATTATTATTATGCTTTATGCTTTAGCATACATGTGCACAATGAGCACGTTAGTTACATATGTATACATGTGCCATGCTGGTGTGCTGCACCCACTAACTCGTCATCTAGCAATAGGTATATCTCCCAGTGCTATTCCTCCCCCCTCCCCCCACCCCACAACAGTCTCCAGAGTGTGGTGTTCCCCTTCCTGTGTCCGTGTGTTCTCATTGTTCAATTCCCACCTATGAGTGAGAATATGTGGTGTTTGGTTTATTGTTCTTGCGATGGTTTACTGAGAATGATGATTTCCAATTTCATCCATGTCCCTACAAAGGACATGAACTCATCATTTTTCATGGCTGCATAGTATTCCATAGTGTATATGTGCCCCATTTTCTTAATCCAGTCTATCATTGTTGGACATTTGGGTTGGTTCCAGGTCTTTGCTATTGTGAATAATGCCACAAAAAACATATGTGTGCATGTGTCTTTATAGCAGCATGATTTATAGTCCTTTGGGTATATACCCAGTAATGGGATGGCTGGGTCAAATGGTATTTCTAGTTCTAGATCCCAGAGGAATCACCACACTGACTTCCACAATGGTTGAACTGGTTTACAGTCCCACCAACAGTGTAAAGGTTTTCCTATTCCTCCACATCCTCTCCAGCAACAATTGTTTCCTGACTTTTTAATGATTGCCATTCTAACAGCTGTGAGATGGTATCTCCTTGTGGTTTTGATTTGCATTTCTCTGATGGCCAGTGATGGTGAGCATTTTTCATGTGTTTTTTGGCTGCATAAATGTCTTCTTTTGAGAAGTGTCTGCTCGTGTTCTTTGCCCAATTTTTGATGGGGTTGTTTGTTTTTTTCTTGTAAATTTGTTTGGGTTCATTGTAGATTCCGGATATTAGCCCTTTGTCAGATGAGTAGGTTGTGAAAATTTTCTCCCATTTTGTAGATTGCCTGTTCACTCTGATGGTAGTTTCTTTTGCTGTGCAGAAGCTCTTTAGTGTAATTAGATCCAATTTGTCAATTTTGGCATTTGCTGCCATTGCTTTTGGTGTTTTAGACATGAAGTCCTTGCCCATGCCCATGTCCTGAATGGTAATGTCTAGGTTTTCTTCTAGGGTTTGTATGGTTTTAGGTCTAATGTTTAAGTCTTTAATCCATCTTGAATTGATTTTTGTATAGGGTGTAAGGAAGGGGTCCAGTTTCAGCTTTCTACATATGGCTAGCCAATTTTCCCAGCACCATTTACTAAATAGGGAATCCTTTCCCCATTGCTTGTTTTTCTCAGGTTTGTCAAAATCAGATAGTTGTAGATATGTGGGGTTATTTCTGAGGGCTCTTTTCTGTCCATTGATCTATATCTCTGTTTTGGTACTAGTACCATGCTGTTTTGGTTACTGTAGACTTGTAGTATAGTTTGAAGTCAGGTAGCGTGATGACTCCAGCTTTCTTCTTTTGGCTTAGGATTGACTTGGTGATGAAGGCTGTTTTTTGGTTCCATATGAACGTTAAAGTAGTTTTTTCCAATTCTGTGAAGAAAGTCATCGGTAGCTTGATGGGGATGGAATTGAATCTATAAATTACCTTGGGCAGTATGGACATTTTCACGATGTTCATTCTTCCCACCTATGTGCATGGAATGATCTTCCATTTGTATCCCCTTTTATTCCATTGGGCAATGGTTTATAGTTCTCCTTGAATACGTCCTTCATATCCTGTGTAATTTGGATTCCTAGGTATCTTTTCTCTTTGAAGCAATTGTGAATGTGAGTTCACTCATGATTTGACTCTCTGTCTGTCTGTTATTGGTGTATAAGAATGCTTGTAATTTTTGTACATTGATTTTGTATCCCGAGACTTGCTTAAGATGCTTATCAGCTTAAGGAGATTTTGGTCTGAGACAATGGAGTTTTCTAGATATACAATCATGTCGTCTGCCAACAGGGACAATTTGACTTCCTCTTTCCTAATTGAATACCCTTTATTTCCTTCTCCTGCCTAATTGACTTGGCCAGAACATCCAACACTATGTTGAATAGGAGTGGAAAGAGGGGGCATCCCTGTCTTGTTCCAGTTTTCAAAGGGAATGCTTCCAGTTTTTGCCCATTCAGTATGATATTGGCTATGGGTTTGTCATAGATAGCTCTTATTATTTTGGGATACGTCCCATCAATACCTAATTTATTGAGAGTTTTTGGCATGAAGCATTGTTGAATTTTGTCAAAGGCCTTTTCAGCATCTATTGAGATAATCATGTGGTTTTTGTCTTTGGTTCTGTTTGTATGCTGGATTACGTTTATCGATTTGCATATGTTGAACCAGTCTTGCATCCCAGGGATGAAGCCCACTTGATCATGGTGGATAAGCTTTTTGATGTGCTGCTGGATTCGGTTTGCCAGTATTTTATTGAGGATTTTTGCATCAATGTTCATCAAGGTTATTGGTGTAAAATAACCTTTTTTGGTTGTGTCTCTGCCCGTCTTTGGTATCAGGATGATGCTGGCCTCATAAAATGAGTTAGGGAGGATTTCCTCTTTTTCTATTGATTGGAATAGTTTCAGAAGGAATGCTACCAATTCCTCCTTGTATCTCTGGTAGAATTCGGCTCAGATTCCATCTGGTCCTGGGCTCTTTTTTGTTGGTATCTATTGATTATTGCCACAATATCAGCTCCTGTTATTGGTCTATTCAGAGATTCAACTTCTTCCTGGTTTAGTCTTGGGAGAGTGTATGTGTCGAGGAATTTATCCATTTCTTCTTGATTTTCTAGTTTATTTGCATAAAGGTGTTTATCGTATTCTCTGATGGTAGTTTCTATTTCTGTGGGATCGGTGGTGATATCCCCTTTATCATTTTTTATTGCATCTATTTGATTTTTCTCTCTTTTTTTTCTTTATTAGTCTTACTAGCAGTCTATCAATTTTGTTGATCCTTTCAAAAAACCAGCTCCTGGATTCATTAATTTTTGAAGGATTTTTTGTGTCTCTATTTCCTTCAGTTCTGCTCTGATTTTAGTTATTTCTTGCCTTCTGCTAGCCTTTGAATGTGTTTGCTCTTGCTTTTCTAGTTCAACATCTCTCAGCTTTTGATTGTGTGTAAACTATTTTATTTCTCCTTCACTTATGAAGCTTAGTTTGGCTGGATATGAAATTCTGGGTTGAAAATTCTTTTCTTTAAGAATGTTGAATATTGGCCCTCACTCTCTTCTGGCTTTTACAGTTTCTGCTGAGAGATCCACTGTTAGTCTGATGGGCTTCCCTTTGAGGGTAACCCGACCTTTCTCTCTGGCTGCCCTTAACATTTTTTCCTTCATTTCAACTTTGGTGAATCTGACAATTATGTGTCTTGGAGTTACTCTTCTCGAGGAGTATCTTTGTGGTGTTCTCTGTATTTCCTGTATCTGAATGTTGGCCTGCCTTGTTGGATTGGGGAAGTTCTCCTGGTTAATATTCTGCAGAGTGTTTTCCAACTTGGTTCCATTCTCCCCGTCACTTTCAGGTACACCAATCAGATGTAGATTTGGTCTTTTCACATAGTCCTATATTTCTTGGAGGCTTTGCTCATTTCTTTTTATTCTTTTTTCTCTAAACTTCCCTTCTCACTTCATTTCATTCATTTCATCTTCCATCACTGATACCCTTTCTTCCAGTTGATCACATCAGTTCCTGAGGCTTTCTAGTTATACATTCTTCTAATTTTTTTTTTCAAAGTTTTAAATTATTTGTCTTCGGTTTGAAAGTCCTCCCATAGCTCGGAGTAATTTGATCATCTGAAGCCTTCTTCTCTCAGCTTGTCAAAGTCATTCTCCATCCAGCTTTGTTCAATTGCTGGTGAGGAACTGTGATCCTTTGGAGGAGGAGAGGCACTCTGCTTTTTAGAGTTTCCAGTTTTTCTGCTCTGTTTTTTCCCCATCTTTTTGGTTTTATCTACTTTTGGTCTGTGATGATGGTGATGTACAGATGGGTTTTTGGTGTGGATGTCCTTTCTGTTTGTTAGTTTTCCTTCTAACAGTCAGGACCCTCAGCTGCAGGTCTGTTGGAGTTTGCTAGAGGTCCACTCCATACCCAGTTGGCCTGGGTATCAGCAGCAGTGGCTGGAGAATAGTGGATATTCATGAACCGCGAATGCTGTTGTCTGATCGTTCCTCTGGAAGTTTTGTCTCAGAGGAGTACTCAGCCGTGTGAGGTGTCAGTGTGCCCCTAACTGAGGGGTGCCTCCCAGTTAGGCTGCTTGTGGGTCAGGGGTCAGGGGCCCACTTGAGGAGGCAGTCTGCCTGTTCTCAGATGTCCAGCTGCATGCTGGGAGAACCATTGATCTCTTCAAAGCTGTCAGACAGGTACATTTAAGTCTGCAGAGGTTACTGCTGTCTTTCTGTTTGTCTGTGCCCTGCCCCGAGAGGTGTAGCCTACAGAGGCAGGCAGGCCTCCTTGAGCTGTGGTGGGCTCCACCCAGTTCGAATTTAGCAGCTGCTTTGTTTACCTAAACAAGCCTGGGCAATGTTGGTCTCCCCTCCACCAGCCTCGCTGCTGCCTCGCATTTTTATCTCAGACTGCTGTGCTAGCAATCAGCGAGACTCCATGGTCATAGGATGCTCTGAGCCATGTGTGGGATATAATCTCCTGGTGCACCGTCTTTTAAGCCCACCGGAAAAGTGCAGTATTCGGGCGGGAGTGACCCCATTTTCCAGGTGCCGTCTGTCACCCCTTTCTTTGACTAGAAAAGGGAACTCCCTGAACCCTTGCACTTCCCAAGTGAGGCAATGCCTTGCCCTGCTTCGGCTCGTGCATGGTTCATGCACCCACTGACCTGCACCCACTGTCTGGCACTCCCTGGTCAGAGGAACCCGGTACTGCAGATGGAAATGCAGAAATCACCCATCTTCTGTGATGCTCATGCTGGGAGCTGTAGACTGGAGCTGTTCCTACTTGGCCATCTTGGCTCTGCCCCCCTACTTCTGTGCAGTTTTTAGGTGAAGATATTTATTTTTCCACCAGAGGCCTAAAAGCACTCCCAATATCCATTTTCATATTCTACAAAATGATTGTTTCAAAACTGCTAAATCAAAATAAATTTCAACTCTGTGAGATGAACGCACACATCACAAGGAATTTCTCACAAAGCTTATGTGTAGTTTTTACATGGAGATACTTCCTTTTTCATAACAGTCCTCAAAGCACTCTGAATATCCACCTGCAGGTTCTAAAAGTAGAGGATTTCAAAGCTGCTCAATCAAAAGAGAGGTTCAGCTCTGTGAGAAGAATGCACACCTCACAAATAAGTTTCTCAGAGTGCTTCTGTATAGTTTTTATGTGAAAATATTTCCTATTCCACAATAGGTCTCAAAGAGCTTCAATTATCCACTTGCAGATACCATAAAACGAGTGTTCCAAAACTGCTCAATCAAAAGAAATGTTCAATTCTGTGAGATGAATGCACACATCACAAAGAAGTTTCTCAGAATGCTTCTGTGTAGTTCTTATGTGAAGATATTTTCTTTTCAAAATAGTCTGCAAAATGCTCCAAATATCCACTTGCAGATTCTACAAAAAGAGAGACTCAAAACTGGTCAATCAAAAGATAGGTTCAACTCTGTGACATGAAGGCACACAAAGAAGTTTCTCAGAATCATTCTGTGTAGTTTTTAAGTGAAGATATTTCCTGTTCCACAGTAAGCCTCAAATCGCTCCAAATATCCACTTGCAGATCCTACAAAAAGAGTGTTTCAAAAAAGCTCAATCAAATGAAAGGCTCAACTCTGTCAGATTAACGCACACATCATAAAGGAATTTCTCAGAATGCTTCTGTGTAGTTTTTATGTGAAGATATTTCCATTTCCACATTTGGCGGCAAAGGGCTCCAAATATCCACTGACGGATTCTACAAAAAGAGAGTTTCAAAATTACTCTATCAAAAGATAGGTTCAGCTATGTGATTTGAATGCACACAGCACAAAGAAATTTCTCAGAATGCTTCTGGGTAATTTTTATGTGAAGATATTTCCATTTCCACCATAGGCAGCAAAGGGCTCCAGATATCCACTTGCAGATTCTACAAAAAGACAGTTTCAAAACTACTCTATCAAAAGATAGGTTCAACTCTGTGATATGAAGGCACACAGCACAAAGAAGTTTCTCAGAATGCTTCTGTGTAGTTTTTATGTGAAGATATTTCCTTTTCCACCACAGGCCTCAAAGCGCTCCAAATATCCACTTGCAGATTCTACAAAAAGAGTGCTTCCAAACTGCTCAATCAAAAGAAATGTTCAACTCTGTGAGAGGAATGCACACATCACCAAGTAGTTTCTCAGAATGCTTCTGTCTAGTTTTTATGTGAAGATACTTCCTTTTCCACAATAGGCCTCAAAGGGCTTCAAATATATACTTGCAGATTCTATAAGCAGAGTGTTTCAAAACTCCTGAATTAAAAGAAAGGTTCAACCCTGTGAGATGAATGCACACATCACAAAGGAGTTTCTCAGAATACTTCTGTGTAGTTTTTATGTGAAGATATTCCCTTTTCCACCATATGCCACAAAGGGTTCCAACTATCCCATTGCAAATTCTAAAAAAAGAAAGACTCAAAACTGCTCAATCAAAAGATAGGTTGAACACGGTGAGTTGAATGCACATATCACAAAGAAATTTGTCAGAATGCATTTGTGTAGTATTTATGTGAAAACAATTCCTTTTCCACCATAGGCCTCAAAATGCTTCAAATACCCACCAGCAGATCCTATAAAAAGTTTGTCTCAAAACTGCTCAATCAAAAGAAAGTTTCAAAACTTTGAGGTGAATGCACACATCACAAAGAAGTTTCTGAGAATGCTTCTGTGTAGTATTTATGGGAAGATATTTCCTTTTCCACAGTAGCCCTAAATGTGCTCCGAATATCCAATTGCAGATTCTACTAAAATATTGTTTCAAAACTAATCAATCAAAAGAAAGGTTCAACTCTGTGAGATTAATGCACACATCACAAAGAAGTTTGTCAGAGTGTTTCTGTGTAGTTTTCCTGTGAAGATATTTCCTTTTCTGCCATACACCTCAAAGCACTCCAAATATCCACTTGCAGATTCTACAAAAAGAGACTTTGAAAACTGCTCAATCAAAAGAAACGTTCAACACTGTGAGATGAATGCACACACCACAAAGCAGTTTCTCAGAATGCTTCTGTGTAGTTTTTATGTGAAGATATTTCCTTTTCCTCAGTAAGCCTCAAAGCGCTCCAAATATCCACTAGTAGATTATACAAAAATAGTATTTCCAAATGGCTCAATCAAAAGAGAAGATCAATTTTGTGAGATTAATGCACACATCACAAAGAAGTTTCTCAGGATACTTCTGTGTAGATTTTTTGTGAAGGTATTTCCTTTTCCATCATAGGCCTAAAAGCGGTCCAAAACAGCCACGTGCAGATTCTAAAAAAGAGTGTTTCAAAACTACTCAATGAAATGAAAGGCTCAAATAGATTAGCTGAACGCACACATCACAAAGAAGTATATCAGAAGGCTTCTGTGTAGTTTTTATGTGAAGATATTTCCTTTTCCACCACAGGCCACAATGGGCTACAAATATCCACTTACAGATTCTACAAAAAGAGAGTTTCAAAACTGCTCTATCAATAGATAGGTTCAACTCTGTGAGTTGAATGCACATATCACAAAGTAGTTTCTCAGAATGTTTCTGTGTAGTTTTCCTGTGAAGATATTTCCTTTTCCGCCATACATCTCAAAGCACTCCAAATATCCACTTGCAGATTCTACAAAAAGAGACTTTGAAAACTGCTCAATCAAAAGAAATGTTCAACACTGTGAGATGAATGCACACAACACAAAGCAGTTTCTCAGAATGCTTCTGTGTAGTTTTTATGTGATGACATTTCCTTTTCCACCAAAGGCCTCAAAGCGCTCCAAATATCCACGTGCAGATTCAACAAAAATAGTTTTTCCAATCTGCTCAACCATTAGAACGGTTCAACTTTGTGAGATGAATGCACACATCACAAAGAAGTTTCTCAGAATGCTTCTGTGTAGTTTTTATGTGAAGATATTTCCTTTTCCACAACAGCGTGCAAAACGCTTCAAATATGCCCTTAGAGATTCCACAAAAAGAGTGTTTCCAAACTACTCAAATCAAAAAATGATTTCAACTCTGTGAGATGAATGCACACATCACAAACTAGTTTCTCAGAATGTTTCTGCCTGGTTCTCATGCGAAGATAGTTCCTTTTTCACCATAGGCCGCAATGTACTCCAAATATCCACCTGCAGATTCTACAAAAGTGAGTTTCAAAACTGCTCTATCAAAAGATCAGTTCGTCTCTGTGAGTTGAATGCATACATCAAAAAGAAGCTTCTCAAAATGCTTCTGTGTGGTTTTTCGGTGAAGATAGTTCTTTTTCTACCATAGGTCTCAAACCACTCCAAATATCCACTTGTAGATTCTATAAAAAGGAATGTTCAAAATTGCTCAATAAAAATAAAGTTTCAACACCGTGAGATGAGTGCACAAATCACAAAGGAGTATTCAACTGCTCATCACAGAAGTTCACTCTTGGATGATGACACTCACAAAGAGTTCTCAGATGCTCTGTGTAGTATTTTGTGAGATATTCTTTCCACATAGACGCCAGGGACACAATATCCACTTCAGATCTACAACAAGAGAGGTCAAAACTACTCGATCAAGAGATGGTTTCAACTATGTGAGTTGAATGCACACATCACAAAGAACTATGTCGGAATTCTTCTGTGTAGTTTTTATGTGAAGATATTTCCTTTTCCACAATAGACGTCAAAGTGATCCAGATATCCACTTGCAGATTCCACAAAAAGAGTGTTTCAAAAGTGCACAACCAAAAGAAAGGTTCAACTAGGTGAGATGAATGCACACATCAGAAGGAAGTTTCTCAGAATGCTTCTGCATAGCTTTTAAGGGAAGATACTTCCTTTTCCAACATAGGCCTCAAAGCACTCCAAATATCCTCCTGGAGATACCACAAAAAGAGTGTTTGCAAACTGCTCAATCAAAAGAAAGATTTAACTCTGTGAGATGAATCCACACATGACAAAGAAGTTTCTCAGAATGCTTCTGTGTAGTTTTTATGTGAAGATATTTCCTTTTCCACAATAAGACCCAAAAGGCTCCAAATATTCACTTGCAGATTCTAAAAAAAACAGTGTTTCAAAACTGCTCAATCAAAAGATAGTTCAACTCTGTGAGAAGAATGCTCACATCACTGAGAAGTTTCTCAGAATGCTTCTGTGTAGTTTTTATATGAAGATATTTCCTTTCCCACCGTAGGCCACAAAAGGCTCCAAATATCCACTTGCAGATACTATGAAAAGAGAGTTTCAAAACTGCTCATTCAAAAGATAGGTTCAACTCTGTGGTTTGAATGCACACAGCACAAAGAAGTTTCACAGAATGTGTCTGTGTAGTTTTTATGTGCGGATGTTTCCTTTTCCACCATATGCCTAAATATTTCCCAATTTCCACTTGCAGATTCTACAAGAAGAGTGTTTCAAAACTGCTGTATCAAATAAAGTTGAACTCTGTGAGGTGAATGCACACAGCACAAAATGGTTTCTCAGAATGCTTCCTTGTTGTTTTTATATGAAGATGTTTCCTTTTCAACAATAGGCCTCAAAGTGCTTCAAATGTCCACTTGCAGATTCTACAAAAAGAGTGTTTCAAAACTGCTCAATCAAAAGAAAGGTTCGACTCTGGGAAATTAATGCACACATCACAAAGAAGTTTCTCAGCTTCTGTGTAGTTTTCATGTGAAGTTATTTCCTTTTCCACAATAGGCCGCAAAGGGCTCCAAATATCAACTTACAGATTCTAGGAAAAGAGAGTTTCAAAACTGCTCTACGAAAAGATAGGTTGAACTCTGTGAGATGAATGCACACATCACAAAGAAGTTTCTCAGAATGCATCTGTGTAGTTTTTACGGGAAGATATTTCCTTTTCCACCATCTTCCACAAAGGTCTCCAAGTAACCACTTGCAGATTCTACAGAAAGACACTTTAAAAACTGCTCTATCAAAAGATCAGTTCAAGTCTGTGGTTTGAATGCACACATCACAAAGAATTTTCTCAGAATGCTTCTGTGTAGTTTTCATATGAAGATATTTCCTTTTCCACCATAGGCCTCAAAGCACTCCAAATATCCACTTGCAGATTCTACAAAAAGAGATTTTCAAAACTAGTCAATCAAAAGAAAGGTTCAACTCTGTCAGTTGAATGCACATATCACAAACAAGTTTCTCGGAATGCGTCTGTGTAGTTTTTATGTGAAGATATTTCCTTCTCCACAACAGGCCTCAAAGTGCTCCGAATATCCACTTGCAGATTTTACTAAAGAGTGTTTCCAAACTGCTCAATCAAGAGGAAGTTTCAAGTCTGTGAGCTGAACGCACACATCACAAAGTAGTTTCTGAGAATGCTTCTGTGTAGTTTTTATGTGAAGATGTTTCCTTTTCCACCATAGGCTGCAAAGGGCTCCAAATATCCACTTGCAGATTCTACAAAAAGAGAGTTTCAAAAGTGCTCTATCAAAAGATAGGTTCAACTATGTGATATGAATGCACACATCACAAAGTAGTTTCTCAGAATGCTTCTGTGTAGTTTTTATGTAAAGATATTTCCTTTTCCACCATAGGCCTCAAAGCACTCCAAATATCCACTTGCAGATTCTACAAAAAGAGATTTTCAAAACTATTTAATCAAAAGAAAGGTTCAAATCTGTCAGTTGAAGGTACATATCACAAACAAGTTTATTGGAATGCTTCTGTGTAGTTTTTATGTGAAGATATTTCCTTTTCCACAACAGGCCTCAAGGTGCTCCAAATATCCACTTGCAGATTTCACTAAAAGTGTGTTTCCAAGCTGCTCAATCAAGAGGAAGTTTCAAGTCTGTGAGGTGAATGCACACATTACAAAGAAGTTACTGAGAATGCTTCTGTGTAGTTTTTATGTGAAGATATTTCCTTTTCCACCGCAGGCCTCAAAGCGCTGCAAATATCCACTTGCAGATTCTACAAAAAGAGAGTTTCAAAACTGCTGTATCAAAAGATAGGGTCAACTCTGCGAGTTGAATAAACACATCACAAATAAGTTTCTGGGAACGCTTCTGTATAGTTTTATGTGAATATATTTCCTTTTCCACCATATGCCTCAAAGCACTCCAAATATCCACTTGCACATTATAGAAACATAGTCTTTCAAAACTTGTCAATCAAAGAAAGGTTCAACTCCGTGAGATGAGTGCACACATCACAGAGAAGTTTCTCGGAATGTTTCTGTGTAGTTTTTATGTGAAGATATTGCCTTTTCCACAATAGGCCTCAAAGCGTTCCAAATATCCAATTGCAGATTCCACAAAAAAAGTTTTTTAAAACTGCTCAATCAAATGATAGATTAAACTCTGTGAGATTAGTGCACACATGTCAAAAAAGTTTCTCAGAATGCTTCTGTGTACTTTTTAGGGGAAGATATTTCCTTTTCCACCATCGGCCACAAAGGACTCCAAATAACCACATGCAGATTCTAGTAACACAGAGTTTCAAAACTGCTCTATCAAAAGATAAGTTCAACTCTGAGAGTTTAGTGCAACCATCGTGAAGAAGTTTCTCAGAATGCTTCTGAGTAGTGTTTATGTGAAGATATTTCCTTTTCCACCATAGGCCTGAAAGCCCTCCAAATATCCACTTGCAGATCCTACAAAAAGAAAGTTTCGAAATGCTCTCTCAAACGATAGTTTCGACTCTGTGGTATGAATACACACATCACAAAGAAGTTTCTCAGAATGCTTCTGTGTAGTTTTTAAATGAAGATATTTCTTTTTCCACCATAGGCCTCAAAGCACTCCAAATATGCACTTCCAGATTCTACAAAAAGAGTGTTTCAGAACTGCTCAATCAAAAGGAAGGTTCCAGTCTGAGACAAATACACACATCAAAAGGTAGTTTCTCAGAATGCTTCTGTGTAGTTTTTATGTGAAGATATTTTCCTTTCCACCATAGGCCACAAATGGCTCTAAATACCCACTTACATTTTCCACAAAAAGAGAGTTTCAAAACTGCTCTACCAAAGGTAAGTTTAACGCTGTGAGTTAAGAACATCACAAAGAAGTTTCTCAGAATGCTTCTGTGTAGTTCTTACGTAAAGATATTTCCTTTTACACAATAGGCAGAAAAGTGCTCCAAATATCCACTTGAAGATTCTACAGAAACCGTGTTTCAAAACTGCCGAATCAAAAGAAAGGTTCAACTCTGTGAGATGAATGCACACATAACAAAGGAGTTTCTCAGAATGCTTCTGTGTAGCTTTTATATGAAGACATTTAGTTTTCCACAACAGGCCTCAAAGCTCTCTCCATATCCACTTGCAGATTCTACCGAAAGAGTGCTTCCAAACTGCTCAATCAAAAGAGACATTCAAATCTGTGAGGTGAATGCAGACATCGTAAAGAAGTTTCTCAGAATGCTTCTGTGTATTTTTTGTGTGAAGTTATTCGTTTTTGCACCATAGGCCTCCAAGCGTTCTAAATATCCACTTCTAGATTCTACAAAAAGAGAGTTTCAAAACTACTCAAACAAAAGGTTCAATTCTGTGAGTTGAAAGCAAACATCACAAAGAAGTTTCTCAGAATGCGTCTGTGTAGTTTTGATGTGAAGATATTTCCTTTTCACAGTAGAATGCAAAGGGCTCCAAATATCCACTTGGAGATTCTACAAAAAGAGTTTCAAAACCGCTCTGTCAAATGATAGGTTGAACTCCCGGAGGTGAATACACACATCACAAAGAGGTTTCTCAGCATGCTTCTGTGTAGTTTTTATGTAAACATATTTCCGTTTCTATCATAGGCCTCAAAGTGCTCCAAATATTCACTTGTACATTCTACCAAACGAGTATTTCAAAACTGCTCAATCAAATGGAAGGTTCAAAACCGTGACATGAATGCCCACATCACAAAGTAGTTTCTCAGAATGCTTCTGTGTAGTTTTTATGTGAAGATATTTCCTTTTCCACAACAGCGTGCAAAACGCTTCAAATATGCCCTTAGAGATTCCACAAAAAGAGTGTTTCCAAACTACTCAAATCAAAAAATGATTTCAACTCTGTGAGATGAATGCACACATCACAAACTAGTTTCTCAGAATGTTTCTGCCTGGTTCTCATGCGAAGATAGTTCCTTTTTCACCATAGGCCGCAATGTACTCCAAATATCCACCTGCAGATTCTACAAAAGTGAGTTTCAAAACTGCTCTATCAAAAGATCAGTTCGTCTCTGTGAGTTGAATGCATACATCAAAAAGAAGCTTCTCAAAATGCTTCTGTGTGGTTTTTCGGTGAAGATAGTTCTTTTTCTACCATAGGTCTCAAACCACTCCAAATATCCACTTGTAGATTCTATAAAAAGGAATGTTCAAAATTGCTCAATAAAAATAAAGTTTCAACACCGTGAGATGAGTGCACAAATCACAAAGGAGTTTCTCAAAATGCTTCTGGGTAGTTTTTCTGTGAAGATAGTTCCTTTTCTACCATGGGCCACAAAGGGCTCCAAATACCCACTTGCAGATTCTACAAAAAGAGAGTTTCACAACTGCTCTATCAAACAATATGTTCAACTTTGTGGGTTGAACACAAATATCACAAGAATTTTCTCCCAATGCTTCTGTGTAGTTTTTATGTGAAGACATTTCTTTTCCCTCCATAGTCCACAAAGTGCTCCAAATATCCACTTACATATTCTAGAAAAAGATTGCTTGGAAACTGCACAATGAAAAGAAAGGTTCAAATATATGAGATGAATGCACACATCACAAAGAAGTTTCTCAGAATCTCTCTGTGTAATTTTTATGTGAAGATATTTCCTTTCCCACCTTAGGTCTTAAAACGCTCCAAATATCCACTTGCAGATACTACAAGAAGATTGTTTCAAAACTGCACAAAAAAAGAAATGTTCAATTCTGTTTGATGAATGCACACATCACAAAGAAGTTTCTCAGAATGCTTCTCTGTAGTTTTTATGTGAAGATATTTCCTTTTCCACAATAGGCCTCAAAGGGCTCCAAATATCCACTTCCAGATTCTATGAAAAGAATATTTCCAAACTGCTCAATCATAGGAAATGTTCAACTCTGTGAGATGAATGCACACATCACAAGAAATTTCTCAGAATCCTTCAGTGTAGGTTTTATGAGAAGATAATTCCTTTTCCACAATAGTTCTCAAAGCACTCAAAATATCCACTTGCAGATTCTACAAAAGGAGTATTTCAAAACTGCTCAATCAAAAGAAAGGTTCAACTCTGTGGGATGAATGGACACATCACAAAGAAGTTTCTCAGAATGCTTCTGTGTAGTATTTTTGTGAAGATATTTCTTTTCCACCATAGACCGCCAGGGGACACAAATATCCACTTTCAGATTCTACAACAAGAGAGGTTCAAAACTACTCGATCAAGAGATGGTTTCAACTATGTGAGTTGAATGCACACATCACAAAGAACTATGTCGGAATTCTTCTGTGTAGTTTTTATGTGAAGATATTTCCTTTTCCACAATAGACGTCAAAGTGATCCAGATATCCACTTGCAGATTCCACAAAAAGAGTGTTTCAAAAGTGCACAACCAAAAGAAAGGTTCAACTAGGTGAGATGAATGCACACATCAGAAGGAAGTTTCTCAGAATGCTTCTGCATAGCTTTTAAGGGAAGATACTTCCTTTTCCAACATAGGCCTCAAAGCACTCCAAATATCCTCCTGGAGATACCACAAAAAGAGTGTTTGCAAACTGCTCAATCAAAAGAAAGATTTAACTCTGTGAGATGAATCCACACATGACAAAGAAGTTTCTCAGAATGCTTCTGTGTAGTTTTTATGTGAAGATATTTCCTTTTCCGCAATAAGACCCAAAAGGCTCCAAATATTCACTTGCAGATTCTAAAAAAAACAGTGTTTCAAAGCTGCTCAATCATAGGAAATGTTCAACTCTGTGAGATGAATGCACACATCACAAGAAATTTCTCAGAATCCTTCAGTGTAGGTTTTATGAGAAGATAATTCCTTTTCCACAATAGTTCTCAAAGCACTCAAAATATCCACTTGCAGATTCTACAAAAGGAGTATTTCAAAACTGCTCAATCAAAAGAAAGGTTCAACTCTGTGAGATGAATGGACACATCACAAAGAAGTTTCTCAGAATGCTTCTGTGTAGTATTTTTGTGAAGATATTTCTTTTCCACCATAGACCGCCAGGGGACACAAATATCCACTTTCAGATTCTACAACAAGAGAGGTTCAAAACTACTCGATCAAGAGATGGTTTCAACTATGTGAGTTGAATGCACACATCACAAAGAACTATGTCGGAATTCTTCTGTGTAGTTTTTATGTGAAGATATTTCCTTTTCCACAATAGACGTCAAAGTGATCCAGATATCCACTTGCAGATTCCACAAAAAGAGTGTTTCAAAAGTGCACAACCAAAAGAAAGGTTCAACTAGGTGAGATGAATGCACACATCAGAAGGAAGTTTCTCAGAATGCTTCTGCATAGCTTTTAAGGGAAGATACTTCCTTTTCCAACATAGGCCTCAAAGCACTCCAAATATCCTCCTGGAGATACCACAAAAAGAGTGTTTGCAAACTGCTCAATCAAAAGAAAGATTTAACTCTGTGAGATGAATCCACACATCACAAAGAAGTTTCTCAGAATGCTTCTGTGTAGTTTTTAATTGAAGATATTTCTTTTTCCACAATAGGCCTCAAAGCGCTCAAAATATCCACTTTCACATTCTACAAAAAGAGTGTTTCAAAACTGCACAATCAAAAGATAGTTCAACTCTGTGAGTTGAATGCGCACAACAAAAAGATGTTTCTCAGATTTCTGTGTAGTTTTTATGTAAAGATATTTCCTTTTCCACAATGGGCCTCAAAGTGCTCCAAATATCCACTTGCAGATTCTACAAAAAGAGATTTCCAAAACTGCTCCATCAAAAGAAAGTTTCACCTCTGTGAGATGAATGCACATACCACAAAGAAGTGTCTCAGAATGCTTCTGTGTAGTTTTTATGTGAAGATATTTCCTTTTCCACAATAAGACCCAAAAGGCTCCAAATATTCACTTGCAGATTCTAAAAAAAACAGTGTTTCAAAACTGCTCAATCAAAAGAAAGGTTCAACTCTGTGAGAAGAATGCTCACATCACTGAGAAGTTTCTCAGAATGCTTCTGTGTAGTTTTTATATGAAGATATTTCCTTTCCCACCGTAGGCCACAAAAGGCTCCAAATATCCACTTGCAGATACTATGAAAAGAGAGTTTCAAAACTGCTCATTCAAAAGATAGGTTCAACTCTGTGGTTTGAATGCACACAGCACAAAGAAGTTTCACAGAATGTGTCTGTGTAGTTTTTATGTGCGGATGTTTCCTTTTCCACCATATGCCTAAATATTTCCCAATTTCCACTTGCAGATTCCACAAGAAGAGTGTTTCAAAACTGCTGTATCAAATAAAGTTGAACTCTGTGAGGTGAATGCACACAGCACAAAATGGTTTCTCAGAATGCTTCCTTGTTGTTTTTATATGAAGATGTTTCCTTTTCAACAATAGGCCTCAAAGTGCTTCAAATGTCCACTTGCAGATTCTACAAAAAGAGTGTTTCAAAACTGCTCAATCAAAAGAAAGGTTCGACTCTGGGAAATTAATGCACACATCACAAAGAAGTTTCTCAGCTTCTGTGTAGTTTTCATGTGAAGTTATTTCCTTTTCCACAATAGGCCGCAAAGGACTCCAAATATCAACTTACAGATTCTAGGAAAAGAGAGTTTCAAAACTGCTCTACGAAAAGATAGGTTGAACTCTGTGAGATGAATGCACACATCACAAAGAAGTTTCTCAGAATGCATCTGTGTAGTTTTTACGGGAAGATATTTCCTTTTCCACCATCTTCCACAAAGGTCTCCAAGTAACCACTTGCAGATTCTACAGAAAGACACTTTAAAAACTGCTCTATCAAAAGATCAGTTCAAGTCTGTGGTTTGAATGCACACATCACAAAGAATTTTCTCAGAATGCTTCTGTGTAGTTTTCATATGAAGATATTTTCTTTTCCACCATAGGCCTCAAAGTGCTCCAAATATCCACTTGCAGATTCTACAAAAAGAGTGTTTCAAAACTGCTCAATCAAAAGAAAGGTACAACTCTTTGTGATGAATTCACTAATAACAAAGACGTTTCTCACAATGCTTCTCTGTAGTTTTTATGTGAAGATCTTTCCTTTTCTACCATAGGCATCAAAGCACTACAAATATCCAATAGCAGATTCTACAAAAAGAGTGTTTCAAAACTGCTCAATCAAATGAAACGTTCAACCCTGTGAGATGAATGCAGACATTAAAAGATAGTTTCTCATTATGGTTCTGGGTAGTTTTTATGTGAACTTATTTCCTTTTCCAAAATAGGCCGGAAAGGGCTCCAAGTATCCACTTGCAGATTCTACAAAAAGAGATTCAAAACTCCTCAATCAAAAGATAGGTTGAACTCCGTGAGATTAATGCATACATCACAACGAAGTTTCTCAGAGGGCTTCATTGTAGTTTTATGGGAAGATATTTCCTTTTCCACTATATGTCTCAAAGATATCCAAATATACACTTGCAGATTCTACAAAATGAGAGTTTCAAAACTGCTCTGTCAAAAAAAGAGGTTCAGCTGCATGAGTTGAATGCACACATCACAAAGAAGTTTCTCAGAATGCTTCTGTGTATTTTTTATGTTAAGATATTTTCTTTTCCACCATAGGCTGCAAAGGGCTCCAAATATCCACTTGCAGATTCTACAAAAAGAGATTTTCAAAACTGCTCAATCAAAAGAAAGGCTCAACTCTGTGAGATGAATGCACACAAAACAAAGGAGTTTCTGCAAATGCTTCTGTGTAGTTTTTAAGTGAAGATACTTCCTTTTCCACAATAGGTCTCGAAGCCCTCCAAATATCCAATTGTGGATTCTACAAAAAGAGTGTTTCAAAACTGCTCAATCAAATGGAAGCTTCAACTCTAAGAAATGAATACACACCTGACAAAGAAGTTTCTCAGAATGCTTTTGTGTAGTTTTTTGGGGAAGGCGTTTTCCTTTCCACCATCGGTCACAAAGGCCTCCAAATAACCACATGCAGATTCTACACAAGGAGAGTTTCAAAACTGCTCTGTCAAAAGATAGGTTCAGCTCTGCGAGTTGAATGCACACATCACAGACAAGTTTCTCAGAATGCTTCTGTGTAGTTTTCATGTGAAGATATTTCCTTTTCCACTTTAGGCCACAAAGCACTCCAAATATCCACTTGCAGAAACTACAAAAAGAGTCTTTCAAAACTGCTCAAGCAAAAGAAAAGTTCAACTCTGTGAGATGAATGCACACATCACAAAGGAGTTTCTGAGAATGCTTCTGTGTAGTTTTTATGTGAAATATTTCCTTATCCACCATAGGCTTCAAAGTGCTCCAAATATTCACTTGCAAATTATAAAAACAGAATTTTTCAAAAATGCTCAGTTAAAAGAATGTTTCAACACTGTGAGATGAATGCACACATCACAAAAAGTTTCTGGGAATGCTTCTGTGTGGTTTTTATGTGAGGATATTTCCTTTTCCACCATAGACTACAAAGGGCTCCAAATATCCACTTGCAGATTCTACAAAAAGAGAGTTTCGAAATGCTCTATCAAAAGATAGGTTCAAATATGTGATATGAATGCACACATCACAAAGAATTTTCTCAGAATGCTTCTGTGTAGTTTTCATATGAAGATATTTCCTTTTCCACCGTAGGCCTCAAAGCACTCCAAATATCCACTTGCAGATTCTACAAAAAGAGATTTTCAAAACTAGTCAATCAAAAGAAAGGTTCAACTCTGTCAGTTGAATGCACATATCACAAACAAGTTTCTCGGAATGCGTCTGTGTAGTTTTTATGTGAAGATATTTCCTTCTCCACAACAGGCCTCAAAGTGCTCCGAATATCCACTTGCAGATTTTACTAAAGAGTGTTTCCAAACTGCTCAATCAAGAGGAAGTTTCAAGTCTGTGAGCTGAACGCACACATCACAAAGTAGTTTCTGAGAATGCTTCTGTGTAGTTTTTATGTGAAGATGTTTCCTTTTCCACCATAGGCTGCAAAGGGCTCCAAATATCCACTTGCAGATTCTACAAAAAGAGAGTTTCAAAAGTGCTCTATCAAAAGATAGGTTCAACTATGTGATATGAATGCACACATCACAAAGTAGTTTCTCAGAATGCTTCTGTGTAGTTTTTATGTAAAGATATTTCCTTTTCCACCATAGGCCTCAAAGCACTCCAAATATCCACTTGCAGATTCTACAAAAAGAGATTTTCAAAACTATTTAATCAAAAGAAAGGTTCAAATCTGTCAGTTGAAGGTACATATCACAAACAAGTTTATTGGAATGCTTCTGTGTAGTTTTTATGTGAAGATATTTCCTTTTCCACAACAGGCCTCCAGGTGCTCCAAATATCCACTTGCAGATTTCACTAAAAGTGTGTTTCCAAGCTGCTCAATCAAGAGGAAGTTTCAAGTCTGTGAGGTGAATGCACACATTACAAAGAAGTTACTGAGAATGCTTCTGTGTAGTTTTTATGTGAAGATATTTCCTTTTCCACCGCAGGCCTCAAAGCGCTGCAAATATCCACTTGCAGATTCTACAAAAAGAGAGTTTCAAAACTGCTGTATCAAAAGATAGGGTCAACTCTGCGAGTTGAATAAACACATCACAAATAAGTTTCTGGGAACGCTTCTGTATAGTTTTATGTGAATATATTTCCTTTTCCACCATATGCCTCAAAGCACTCCAAATATCCACTTGCACATTATAGAAACATAGTCTTTCAAAACTTGTCAATCAAAGAAAGGTTCAACTCCGTGAGATGAGTGCACACATCACAGAGAAGTTTCTCGGAATGTTTCTGTGTAGTTTTTATGTGAAGATATTGCCTTTTCCACAATAGGCCTCAAAGCGTTCCAAATATCCAATTGCAGATTCCACAAAAAAAGTTTTTTAAAACTGCTCAATCAAATGATAGATTAAACTCTGTGAGATTAGTGCACACATGTCAAAAAAGTTTCTCAGAATGCTTCTGTGTACTTTTTAGGGGAAGATATTTCCTTTTCCACCATCGGCCACAAAGGACTCCAAATAACCACATGCAGATTCTAGTAACACAGAGTTTCAAAACTGCTCTATCAAAAGATAAGTTCAACTCTGAGAGTTTAGTGCAACCATCGTGAAGAAGTTTCTCAGAATGCTTCTGAGTAGTGTTTATGTGAAGATATTTCCTTTTCCACCATAGGCCTGAAAGCCCTCCAAATATCCACTTGCAGATCCTACAAAAAGAAAGTTTCGAAATGCTCTCTCAAACGATAGTTTCGACTCTGTGGTATGAATACACACACACATCACAAAGAAGTTTCTCAGAATGCTTCTGTGTAGTTTTTAAATGAAGATATTTCTTTTTCCACCATAGGCCTCAAAGCACTCCAAATATGCACTTCCAGATTCTACAAAAAGAGTGTTTCAGAACTGCTCAATCAAAAGGAAGGTTCCAGTCTGAGACAAATACACACATCAAAAGGTAGTTTCTCAGAATGCTTCTGTGTAGTTTTTATGTGAAGATATTTTCCTTTCCACCATAGGCCACAAATGGCTCTAAATACCCACTTACATTTTCCACAAAAAGAGAGTTTCAAAACTGCTCTACCAAAGGTAAGTTTAACGCTGTGAGTTAAGAACATCACAAAGAAGTTTCTCAGAATGCTTCTGTGTAGTTCTTACGTAAAGATATTTCCTTTTACACAATAGGCAGAAAAGTGCTCCAAATATCCACTTGAAGATTCTACAAAAACCGTGTTTCAAAACTGCCGAATCAAAAGAAAGGTTCAACTCTGTGAGATGAATGCACACATAACAAAGGAGTTTCTCAGAATGCTTCTGTGTAGCTTTTATATGAAGACATTTAGTTTTCCACAACAGGCCTCAAAGCTCTCTCCATATCCACTTGCAGATTCTACCGAAAGAGTGCTTCCAAACTGCTCAATCAAAAGAGACATTCAAATCTGTGAGGTGAATGCAGACATCGTAAAGAAGTTTCTCAGAATGCTTCTGTGTATTTTTTGTGTGAAGTTATTCGTTTTTGCACCATAGGCCTCCAAGCGTTCTAAATATCCACTTCTAGATTCTACAAAAAGAGAGTTTCAAAACTACTCAAACAAAAGGTTCAATTCTGTGAGTTGAAAGCAAACATCACAAAGAAGTTTCTCAGAATGCGTCTGTGTAGTTTTGATGTGAAGATATTTCCTTTTCACAGTAGAATGCAAAGGGCTCCAAATATCCACTTGGAGATTCTACAAAAAGAGTTTCAAAACCGCTCTGTCAAATGATAGGTTGAACTCCCGGAGGTGAATACACACATCACAAAGAGGTTTCTCAGCATGCTTCTGTGTAGTTTTTATGTAAACATATTTCCGTTTCTATCATAGGCCTCAAAGTGCTCCAAATATTCACTTGTACATTCTACCAAACGAGTATTTCAAAACTGCTCAATCAAATGGAAGGTTCAAAACCGTGACATGAATGCCCACATCACAAAGTAGTTTCTCAGAATGCTTCTGTGTAGTTTTTATGTGAAGATATTTCCTTTTCCACAACAGCGTGCAAAACGCTTCAAATATGCCCTTAGAGATTCCACAAAAAGAGTGTTTCCAAACTACTCAAATCAAAAAATGATTTCAACTCTGTGAGATGAATGCACACATCACAAACTAGTTTCTCAGAATGTTTCTGCCTGGTTCTCATGCGAAGATAGTTCCTTTTTCACCATAGGCCGCAATGTACTCCAAATATCCACCTGCAGATTCTACAAAAGTGAGTTTCAAAACTGCTCTATCAAAAGATCAGTTCGTCTCTGTGAGTTGAATGCATACATCAAAAAGAAGCTTCTCAAAATGCTTCTGTGTGGTTTTTCGGTGAAGATAGTTCTTTTTCTACCATAGGTCTCAAACCACTCCAAATATCCACTTGTAGATTCTATAAAAAGGAATGTTCAAAATTGCTCAATAAAAATAAAGTTTCAACACCGTGAGATGAGTGCACAAATCACAAAGGAGTTTCTCAAAATGCTTCTGGGTAGTTTTTCTGTGAAGATAGTTCCTTTTCTACCATGGGCCACAAAGGGCTCCAAATACCCACTTGCAGATTCTACAAAAAGAGAGTTTCACAACTGCTCTATCAAACAATATGTTCAACTTTGTGGGTTGAACACAAATATCACAAGAATTTTCTCCCAATGCTTCTGTGTAGTTTTTATGTGAAGACATTTCTTTTCCCTCCATAGTCCACAAAGTGCTCCAAATATCCACTTACATATTCTAGAAAAAGATTGCTTGGAAACTGCACAATGAAAAGAAAGGTTCAAATATATGAGATGAATGCACACATCACAAAGAAGTTTCTCAGAATCTCTCTGTGTAATTTTTATGTGAAGATATTTCCTTTCCCACCTTAGGTCTTAAAACGCTCCAAATATCCACTTGCAGATACTACAAGAAGATTGTTTCAAAACTGCACAAAAAAAGAAATGTTCAATTCTGTTTGATGAATGCACACATCACAAAGAAGTTTCTCAGAATGCTTCTCTGTAGTTTTTATGTGAAGATATTTCCTTTTCCACAATAGGCCTCAAAGGGCTCCAAATATCCACTTCCAGATTCTATGAAAAGAATATTTCCAAACTGCTCAATCATAGGAAATGTTCAACTCTGTGAGATGAATGCACACATCACAAGAAATTTCTCAGAATCCTTCAGTGTAGGTTTTATGAGAAGATAATTCCTTTTCCACAATAGTTCTCAAAGCACTCAAAATATCCACTTGCAGATTCTACAAAAGGAGTATTTCAAAACTGCTCAATCAAAAGAAAGGTTCAACTCTGTGAGATGAATGGACACATCACAAAGAAGTTTCTCAGAATGCTTCTGTGTAGTATTTTTGTGAAGATATTTCTTTTCCACCATAGACCGCCAGGGGACACAAATATCCACTTTCAGATTCTACAACAAGAGAGGTTCAAAACTACTCGATCAAGAGATGGTTTCAACTATGTGAGTTGAATGCACACATCACAAAGAACTATGTCGGAATTCTTCTGTGTAGTTTTTATGTGAAGATATTTCCTTTTCCACAATAGACGTCAAAGTGATCCAGATATCCACTTGCAGATTCCACAAAAAGAGTGTTTCAAAAGTGCACAACCAAAAGAAAGGTTCAACTAGGTGAGATGAATGCACACATCAGAAGGAAGTTTCTCAGAATGCTTCTGCATAGCTTTTAAGGGAAGATACTTCCTTTTCCAACATAGGCCTCAAAGCACTCCAAATATCCTCCTGGAGATACCACAAAAAGAGTGTTTGCAAACTGCTCAATCAAAAGAAAGATTTAACTCTGTGAGATGAATCCACACATGACAAAGAAGTTTCTCAGAATGCTTCTGTGTAGTTTTTATGTGAAGATATTTCCTTTTCCACAATAAGACCCAAAAGGCTCCAAATATTCACTTGCAGATTCTAAAAAAAACAGTGTTTCAAAACTGCTCAATCAAAAGATAGTTCAACTCTGTGAGAAGAATGCTCACATCACTGAGAAGTTTCTCAGAATGCTTCTGTGTAGTTTTTATATGAAGATATTTCCTTTCCCACCGTAGGCCACAAAAGGCTCCAAATATCCACTTGCAGATACTATGAAAAGAGAGTTTCAAAACTGCTCATTCAAAAGATAGGTTCAACTCTGTGGTTTGAATGCACACAGCACAAAGAAGTTTCACAGAATGTGTCTGTGTAGTTTTTATGTGCGGATGTTTCCTTTTCCACCATATGCCTAAATATTTCCCAATTTCCACTTGCAGATTCCACAAGAAGAGTGTTTCAAAACTGCTGTATCAAATAAAGTTGAACTCTGTGAGGTGAATGCACACAGCACAAAATGGTTTCTCAGAATGCTTCCTTGTTGTTTTTATATGAAGATGTTTCCTTTTCAACAATAGGCCTCAAAGTGCTTCAAATGTCCACTTGCAGATTCTACAAAAAGAGTGTTTCAAAACTGCTCAATCAAAAGAAAGGTTCGACTCTGGGAAATTAATGCACACATCACAAAGAAGTTTCTCAGCTTCTGTGTAGTTTTCATGTGAAGTTATTTCCTTTTCCACAATAGGCCGCAAAGGGCTCCAAATATCAACTTACAGATTCTAGGAAAAGAGAGTTTCAAAACTGCTCTACGAAAAGATAGGTTGAACTCTGTGAGATGAATGCACACATCACAAAGAAGTTTCTCAGAATGCATCTGTGTAGTTTTTACGGGAAGACATTTCCTTTTCCACCATCTTCCACAAAGGTCTCCAAGTAACCACTTGCAGATTCTACAGAAAGACACTTTAAAAACTGCTCTATCAAAAGATCAGTTCAAGTCTGTGGTTTGAATGCACACATCACAAAGAATTTTCTCAGAATGCTTCTGTGTAGTTTTCATATGAAGATATTTCCTTTTCCACCATAGGCCTCAAAGCACTCCAAATATCCACTTGCAGATTCTACAAAAAGAGATTTTCAAAACTAGTCAATCAAAAGAAAGGTTCAACTCTGTCAGTTGAATGCACATATCACAAACAAGTTTCTCGGAATGCGTCTGTGTAGTTTTTATGTGAAGATATTTCCTTCTCCACAACAGGCCTCAAAGTGCTCCGAATATCCACTTGCAGATTTTACTAAAGAGTGTTTCCAAACTGCTCAATCAAGAGGAAGTTTCAAGTCTGTGAGCTGAACGCACACATCACAAAGTAGTTTCTGAGAATGCTTCTGTGTAGTTTTTATGTGAAGATGTTTCCTTTTCCACCATAGGCTGCAAAGGGCTCCAAATATCCACTTGCAGATTCTACAAAAAGAGAGTTTCAAAAGTGCTCTATCAAAAGATAGGTTCAACTATGTGATATGAATGCACACATCACAAAGTAGTTTCTCAGAATGCTTCTGTGTAGTTTTTATGTAAAGATATTTCCTTTTCCACCATAGGCCTCAAAGCACTCCAAATATCCACTTGCAGATTCTACAAAAAGAGATTTTCAAAACTATTTAATCAAAAGAAAGGTTCAAATCTGTCAGTTGAAGGTACATATCACAAACAAGTTTATTGGAATGCTTCTGTGTAGTTTTTATGTGAAGATATTTCCTTTTCCACAACAGGCCTCAAGGTGCTCCAAATATCCACTTGCAGATTTCACTAAAAGTGTGTTTCCAAGCTGCTCAATCAAGAGGAAGTTTCAAGTCTGTGAGGTGAATGCACACATTACAAAGAAGTTACTGAGAATGCTTCTGTGTAGTTTTTATGTGAAGATATTTCCTTTTCCACCGCAGGCCTCAAAGCGCTGCAAATATCCACTTGCAGATTCTACAAAAAGAGAGTTTCAAAACTGCTGTATCAAAAGATAGGGTCAACTCTGCGAGTTGAATAAGCACATCACAAATAAGTTTCTGGGAACGCTTCTGTATAGTTTTATGTGAATATATTTCCTTTTCCACCATATGCCTCAAAGCACTCCAAATATCCACTTGCACATTATAGAAACATAGTCTTTCAAAACTTGTCAATCAAAGAAAGGTTCAACTCCGTGAGATGAGTGCACACATCACAGAGAAGTTTCTCGGAATGTTTCTGTGTAGTTTTTATGTGAAGATATTGCCTTTTCCACAATAGGCCTCAAAGCGTTCCAAATATCCAATTGCCAGATTCCACAAAAAAAGTTTCTCAGAATACTTCTGAGTAGTGTTTATGTGAAGATATTTCCTTTTCCACCATAGGCCTGAAAGCCCTCCAAATATCCACTTGCAGATCCTACAAAAAGAAAGTTTCGAAATGCTCTCTCAAACGATAGTTTCGACTCTGTGGTATGAATACACACACACATCACAAAGAAGTTTCTCAGAATGCTTCTGTGTAGTTTTTAAATGAAGATATTTCTTTTTCCACCATAGGCCTCAAAGCACTCCAAATATGCACTTCCAGATTCTACAAAAAGAGTGTTTCAGAACTGCTCAATCAAAAGGAAGGTTCCAGTCTGAGACAAATACACACATCAAAAGGTAGTTTCTCAGAATGCTTCTGTGTAGTTTTTATGTGAAGATATTTTCCTTTCCACCATAGGCCACAAATGGCTCTAAATACCCACTTACATTTTCCACAAAAAGAGAGTTTCAAAACTGCTCTACCAAAGGTAAGTTTAACGCTGTGAGTTAAGAACATCACAAAGAAGTTTCTCAGAATGCTTCTGTGTAGTTCTTACGTAAAGATATTTCCTTTTACACAATAGGCAGAAAAGTGCTCCAAATATCCACTTGAAGATTCTACAGAAACCGTGTTTCAAAACTGCCGAATCAAAAGAAAGGTTCAACTCTGTGAGATGAATGCACACATAACAAAGGAGTTTCTCAGAATGCTTCTGTGTAGCTTTTATATGAAGACATTTAGTTTTCCACAACAGGCCTCAAAGCTCTCTCCATATCCACTTGCAGATTCTACCGAAAGAGTGCTTCCAAACTGCTCAATCAAAAGAGACATTCAAATCTGTGAGGTGAATGCAGACATCGTAAAGAAGTTTCTCAGAATGCTTCTGTGTATTTTTTGTGTGAAGTTATTCGTTTTTGCACCATAGGCCTCCAAGCGTTCTAAATATCCACTTCTAGATTCTACAAAAAGAGAGTTTCAAAACTACTCAAACAAAAGGTTCAATTCTGTGAGTTGAAAGCAAACATCACAAAGAAGTTTCTCAGAATGCGTCTGTGTAGTTTTGATGTGAAGATATTTCCTTTTCACAGTAGAATGCAAAGGGCTCCAAATATCCACTTGGAGATTCTACAAAAAGAGTTTCAAAACCGCTCTGTCAAATGATAGGTTGAACTCCCGGAGGTGAATACACACATCACAAAGCGGTTTCTCAGCATGCTTCTGTGTAGTTTTTATGTAAACATATTTCCGTTTCTATCATAGGCCTCAAAGTGCTCCAAATATTCACTTGTACATTCTACCAAACGAGTATTTCAAAACTGCTCAATCAAATGGAAGGTTCAAAACCGTGACATGAATGCCCACATCACAAAGTAGTTTCTCAGAATGCTTCTGTGTAGTTTTTATGTGAAGATATTTCCTTTTCCACAACAGCGTGCAAAACGCTTCAAATATGCCCTTAGAGATTCCACAAAAAGAGTGTTTCCAAACTACTCAAATCAAAAAATGATTTCAACTCTGTGAGATGAATGCACACATCACAAACTAGTTTCTCAGAATGTTTCTGCCTGGTTCTCATGCGAAGATAGTTCCTTTTTCACCATAGGCCGCAATGTACTCCAAATATCCACCTGCAGATTCTACAAAAGTGAGTTTCAAAACTGCTCTATCAAAAGATCAGTTCGTCTCTGTGAGTTGAATGCATACATCAAAAAGAAGCTTCTCAAAATGCTTCTGTGTGGTTTTTCGGTGAAGATAGTTCTTTTTCTACCATAGGTCTCAAACCACTCCAAATATCCACTTGTAGATTCTATAAAAAGGAATGTTCAAAATTGCTCAATAAAAATAAAGTTTCAACACCGTGAGATGAGTGCACAAATCACAAAGGAGTTTCTCAAAATGCTTCTGGGTAGTTTTTCTGTGAAGATAGTTCCTTTTCTACCATGGGCCACAAAGGGCTCCAAATACCCACTTGCAGATTCTACAAAAAGAGAGTTTCACAACTGCTCTATCAAACAATATGTTCAACTTTGTGGGTTGAACACAAATATCACAAGAATTTTCTCCCAATGCTTCTGTGTAGTTTTTATGTGAAGACATTTCTTTTCCCTCCATAGTCCACAAAGTGCTCCAAATATCCACTTACATATTCTAGAAAAAGATTGCTTGGAAACTGCACAATGAAAAGAAAGGTTCAAATATATGAGATGAATGCACACATCACAAAGAAGTTTCTCAGAATCTCTCTGTGTAATTTTTATGTGAAGATATTTCCTTTCCCACCTTAGGTCTTAAAACGCTCCAAATATCCACTTGCAGATACTACAAGAAGATTGTTTCAAAACTGCACAAAAAAAGAAATGTTCAATTCTGTTTGATGAATGCACACATCACAAAGAAGTTTCTCAGAATGCTTCTCTGTAGTTTTTATGTGAAGATATTTCCTTTTCCACAATAGGCCTCAAAGGGCTCCAAATATCCACTTCCAGATTCTATGAAAAGAATATTTCCAAACTGCTCAATCATAGGAAATGTTCAACTCTGTGAGATGAATGCACACATCACAAGAAATTTCTCAGAATCCTTCAGTGTAGGTTTTATGAGAAGATAATTCCTTTTCCACAATAGTTCTCAAAGCACTCAAAATATCCACTTGCAGATTCTACAAAAGGAGTATTTCAAAACTGCTCAATCAAAAGAAAGGTTCAACTCTGTGAGATGAATGGACACATCACAAAGAAGTTTCTCAGAATGCTTCTGTGTAGTATTTTTGTGAAGATATTTCTTTTCCACCATAGACCGCCAGGGGACACAAATATCCACTTTCAGATTCTACAACAAGAGAGGTTCAAAACTACTCGATCAAGAGATGGTTTCAACTATGTGAGTTGAATGCACACATCACAAAGAACTATGTCGGAATTC